>NC_000013.11:75983863-76135378 GCF_000001405.40 Homo sapiens
GAAAGCAATGATATGTGATTAATAACAAAATTGTGATATAACGTGAATGGCATTCTATCTTTGATGATTCAGAAGGCATTTTAGGGTCTTGTGAGGCTCCAGAGTTAAACTGATGATAACCAATTTTGGTTGTGTTATAGAACAGAAGTGCTCTTGCTCTCAGTATAAAATGTGAATTAATAGAATGCAATAACATTAATTTTTTATTCACTAATTCAAAAATACATTTAGTGAGTGCATTCTGAATGCCAAGCACAGGAGAGAGCACTGACAAATATAGCAAAAATCTCCGCCCTCAAAGGACCTTTCATTTGATACACTTTTCTAAATGGATGGAGTCATCATTTCTATATACTTCACCACACAGTCACATGCTTTAAAATAGCATTGGTCCCTTCAAGTGCTCCTGTTTAGAAGGATAATTATATTGTGCTGGTCTTTCATTAGCTTTCTCTAATGGTGTTCTTGTTTCCTGTGCTCAATTTATTAGCTTGTGTTGATTAGAATTCCAGAAATATCCTTGAATATACTATAACTTCAATTTTACAAATAAATAAAATTGCAACCAATAATTTTATCTATTTTTCATTCAACACATATTTATTATCTACTATATGCCAGGACTTAGGTACATGGAATCCTAGAAATTTCACAGTCAACAAAATAGACATGGTCCTTACAAGGCTTTCCATTTAATATGGGAGATGGACATTCAATGAATAAGTATATAGTTAGACATTTTGTTACAATTGTATTTATCTTTAAGTGCTCAGGAAGCATTTTATTTTATATTTTCCATAGGTTTTTGGGGAACAAATGGTATTTTGTTACATGAGTAAGTTCTTCAGTGATTTGTAGTCTTTTATCCCTCACCCCTCTCTCACACTTTCCCCTGAGTCCCCAAAGTCCATTGTAATTTATGAATAGCTTTTGTGAGCTGGACTATAACTACATGTGACTGTTGGAATTTTTTGACTTTATTTGACAAGCTATTAATGCCAAATTAACTTTGCTTGTAAAACCTTCGAATTAAAAAGGAAGTAATAAATATTTTACATAAATGTTTTCTTTAATAGGTCTAAAATGGATTGGAAATAAAGACATTATATGAAATAATTATTACTGGGGGCATAGTCGGACAAAATAGTGAACATGGGGCAGGAATAATGGATATATTCTTTATCTGTTTACAGAAACTTCAGGTTTAAAGAAAAATTTTTCAAATCAGTTAAAGGGGGAAATTCTCTAGAGTTATTTCAACATCCTTATATAGTTTATTCAGTCTTTAGAGGAGAAATATGAATAAAAAGTAATATAGCTGTATAAGATATATAAATAATCAAGAAATGTCATAGATGTGAGATGTCATGGTGACTAGGTAAACTGAATTCAGAAACAGTTTGGATAGCTTGGATCAGCAGTTGTATAAATGGGTAAATTTCTCTGTCAAGTTCTCTGTAGTATCTGACAAAAAGACACAGGAGTTAGCTAAGAGGGCAGGCCTGGAGCTAGTGTGGTCACAAGAGATAAGGAAAGGAGCGAGACAAAAGAGAGTAATAGAAGACACATTCCAAAATGTCATGTGGAAATGAGAAGCACCAGGTCCTTGCCTCACCTCTTCCCACTCCTTCCCAGAAGCAATTATTCTTAATGCTTAGCTGTTTTTGCTGACATTACTGCCAATACTTATTAACAGTAAACTCACTTCTATTTATTGATTTATCAGTTTTAGATAATAGCTAATAGTTTTTATTTTGGCAGGTGAGAAACTTGGTTTTTTATCCAGCTTCTCTCCTCCCATCCCATAAACATATTTGGTTAAATTAGTAGCTGGTGTTTATATTATGGATGGTTCAGTTTATTATTGAGCCAATTGGTTTGCTGTGATCTTGTTTTCTTTTCCTGAGAGTTAATATTTGAATTTTTCATTTGTATATGTTTCAGTGTTCTCTGGTATTAATCTATTTCCTAAATACTCAAAAAATTTGATAGAACCAAACATATAATTGTCAGTTGTGTTTTTTTCTTGACAATCCCTCTAGAGCCTGCTAGCTTCCTGCCTCAATCTTGGTAGCCAATCTCTTTGTCTCTTGATCTACTGCCCAGATAGTACCTTAGTATTTCTGTTTATTGTTTCCTGGATCTTATGTCTTTTTTTTTTCTTAGATTTTTGTCCTTGTTTTGCTGGAGCACATCCTATTGTAACTTCCAAAAAGTGAGACAGTTAATGGAAAGTTTTGGTTTAAAGGATATGGAATAATCTCTTCATTCATTGATTCAGCAAATTTTTTTTAGCACCAGCACTGTGCCTGGTATTCAATCATTTCACAGAAAAACTGATTTTATTAAGACATAAAGCAGATCATGCCACTGCTTTGTTTAAAACCCTTCAGATGCTTCCTTTTGTCCTTACAATAAATTCCAAGCTGGTTCCCAATGTCTTGCATGACTTGCCTCTACTTGGTTCCAGGAGCATATCTGTGTCTTTAGTACAACAGGGCCTTTTCCATGCTCTTTTCCTGGATCTTTACATGACTGGCTCCTCATTATATAAGATTTAGTTTAAATGTTATCTTCTAACAAAGGCCTTCTCTGAATGCCCTCTCTAAAAAGTCTCTGACCTCTTTTAATCTCTATCACAGTGTCTTGTTTATTACTTTCTGGCAATAATAAGTATTTTCATAAATACATTTATTTACTTTATTATTGCCTATCTCCCCTATTAGAATGTAAACTTGATGAGGGCTGGGACTTCTTTGGTTTATTCTTTATTGTGTTCTTGGAGACTAGTGTAGTGTGGGGAACAAAATAGCCTCCAGGTAAATATTTGTTGATGCCTAAGTGGCTGCAATCAATTGGAAAAATTTAGCTAAAATGACTGGTTAATAAGACTCTAGTATTAAGGGAAAGTTGTTTAGAAAAATGAACATTTCTTCTGCATTGATGGTTCTTGTGTCTTACTCTGATCTCTTCTCATCCCTGGGCCTCATGGGCTCCAGCTGCACTGACCTTGCTGTTTTCTTCAGTAAGCCGTATGTTCTGCCTGGAGTCTGCAACACAGTATTATAGTCTCTGATATGCCTGACTGATTTCCCCTTGATCTCAAATCATCTAATCAGCTTTCAAGTTTCTGTTCCTCTGTGGAATCTGTCTTGACTTTCTAAGGGTGAGTCAAGTGGTTCCTAGGTTCCTGCACTCTCTGTATTACCTTTAACAGTACTTAGCACATCATCATTACTGCCTCTTTACTTATCTGTTGTTCATCAAAGAAATAAACTCCTAGAAAGCAGAGAGACTGAGCCTTGTTCACCCTTTGATCAGCACACACAATGGATGCCTAAAAATAGCCACTCAGTTAATATTTGTGAATCTTGTTAAAAAATATAGAGAAAATAGTATGTCAAGAAAAAATGTTTTAGAGGTAGAATGGGCAAACAGCAATCTGTTGAGAGAACTTTTTTATTTTTATGCGTTGATATTCAGGTAGTAAGAGCATAGCCTGAAGAAAATGGCAATAATAATGTTGTGTAAGCATACAAGAAATGATGGAATGTGTAAATGCCCAAGCCACTTCAGAAAGTAGTCTTCTACTGGGAATGAGATTTCTGATCTTAATGCATGAAGAGATGCTAACTCTCAGATGAGATGGTTATGTTGATGAACACAAATGTACTCATGCACACAGTGGTAACAACTAACAGTGGGAAATTGGATGCAAGTTATTGTTACTCTAATACGTGCTGGGAATTGTATTAATATGCTTTATGTATATTATCTCTTCTAAAACAATAACTTAATGTCATCTCTACTTTAGAGATAAGAAGTAGGGAAGCCATTTCTTGGTTTCCACCTCTGACAGACTTCAAAATTTTGTTCCTCTGAAATGAACGCTGAGATTCAAAAAACCACACAAAAGGTCAACAAATCCAGGGTTTGGGGTCTTTTTCTGAAAGAATAAATAAGATTGATAGATTGCTAGCTAGACTTCTACTAGCCCTATGAAAATAAAAAGAAATCTCTAACACACAATGGGAAATTTAAGCCAAAACTACTATGAACACCTCTATGCACGTAAACTAGAAGACCTAGAAGAAATGGATAAATTCCTGGAAACACAATCTCCTAAGATTGAACTAGGAAGACATTCAATCCCTCAACAAACCAATAATCAGTTCCAAAATTGAATCAGTAAAAAAAAAAAAAAAAAATGCCTACCAACAAAAAAGCCTAGGACCTAATGGATTCATTGCTGAATTCTACTAGATGTATAAAGAAAAGGTGGTACCATTCCTACTGAAACTATTCCAACAAAACTGAAAAAGAGTCTCCTCCCTAATGCATTCCATGAGTCCAGCACCATCCCGATACCAAAACCTGGTGGAGATACAACAAAAAAGGAAAACTTCACGCCAATTCCCTTGATGAACATACATGCAAAAATCCTCAAAGAAAGCTAGCAAACTGAATCCAGCAGCACATTAAAAAGGTAATCCATCATGATCAAATAGGCTTTATTACTGGGATGTAAGTTTAGTTCAACATATATAATCAATAAATGTGATTAATCACATAGAACTAAAGACAAAAACCCACATGATCATCTCAATGGATGCAGAAAAGGCTTTCAATAAAATTCAACATTTCTTCATGTTAAAAACCCTTAAAGAACTAGGCATTGATGGAACACACTTCAAAATATGGGAGCCATTTATGGCAAACCCACTGCCAACATCATACTGAATGGGCAAAAGATGAAAGCATCTTCCTTGAGAACTAACACAAGACAAAGATGCCCTCTCTCACTACTCCTATTTAACATAGTACTGGAAGTCCTATCCAGAGCAATCAGGCAAGGGAAAGAAATAAAAAAGGCATCCAAATAGGAAGAGAGAAAGTCAAACTCTTTCTGTGTCTAGATGACATGATTCTATAGCCAGAAAACCCCATAGTCTCTGCCCAAAAGCTCCTAGATCTGATAAACAGCTTCAGCAAAGTTTCAGGATACAAAATCAACGCACAAAACTAGTAGCATTTCTATACACCAAAAATGTCCAAGCTGAAAACCAAATCAGGAACTTAATCCCTCTCACAATAGCCACAAAAAGAATAAAATACATAGCAATACAGCTAACTAGGGAGGTGAAAGATCTCTACAACAGTACTTACAAAATACTGCTTAAAGAAATCAGAGATTATACAAACAAATGGAAAAACATTCCATTCTCATGGACAGGAAGATTCAATATTGTTAAAATGGCCATATTATTGCCTGAAACAATTTGCACATTCAATACTATTCCTGTCAAACTACCAATGACATTCTTCACAGACTTAGAAAAAACTAGCTGAAAATTCATATGGAACCAAAAAGACTGAGTAGCCAAGGCAATCCTAAGCAAAAAGAGCTAAGCTGGAGGCATCACTTTATCCAGACTATACTATAGGACTATAGTAACCAAAACAGCATGGTACTGGTACAAAAATAGACACATAGACCAATGGAAGAGACTAGAGAGCCCAGAAATAATGATGCACACCTATGACCATCTGATCTTTGATAAAGCTGACAAAAACAAGCAATGGGAAAAGGACTCCCTATTCAATAAATGGTGCTGGGATAACTGGCTGGTCACATGTGGAAGATTGAAACTGGACCCTTTCCTGACACCGTATACAAAAATCAACTCGAGATGGTTAGATGAAAGACTTAAATGTGAAACCTAAAGCTATAAAAACTCTGGAAGATAACCAAGGAAATACCATTCTGGACATAGGCCCTAGCAAAGTTTTCATGACAAAGATGCCAAAAACAATTGCAACAAAAACAAAAATTGATAACGGGGATCTAATTAAACTAAAGAGTTTCTGTCCAGCAAAAGAAACCATCAACAGAGTAAACAGACAACAGAATGGGACAAAGTAGTTACGAATCACACATCTAACAAAGGTCTAATATCTGGAATCTATAAGGAACTTAAACAATTGAACAAGCCAAAAACAAATAACCCCATTAAAAAGTGGGCAAAGGACATGAAGAGACACTTTTCAAAGGAGACATACACACAGCCAACAAGCATATGAAAAAATGTTCAACATCACTAATCATCAGAGAAATGCAAGTTGAAACCACAATGAGACACCATCTCACACCAGTCAGAATGGCTGTTATTAAAAAGTAAAAACAAAAACAAAAAAAACAGATACTGGTGATATTGTGGAGAAAAGGGAATGCTTATAAATTACTATTGGGAATATAAATTATTAGTTCAGTCATTGTGGAAAGAAGTTTGGTGATTTTTCAAAGGACTTAGAGCTACCATTCAACCCAGCAATCCCATTATTGAGTATTCACCTGAAGGAATATAAATCATTCTACCATAAAGACATGCATGCATATGTTCATCACGGTACAATAGCAAAGACATGGAGTCAACCTAGATGCCCATCAATAGTAGACTGGATAAAGAAAATGTGGTACATATATATCATGGAACACTACATAGCCATAAAAAAGAACAAGATTATGTCCTTTGCAGCAATTTGGATGGACCTGGAGGCCATTATGCAAAGCAAACTAACACAGGAACAGAAAACCAAATACTACATGTTCTCACTTATAAGTGAGAGCTAAACATTGAGTATGTATGGACACAAAGAAGGGAACAAAAGACACTGGGCCTACTTGAGGGCAGAGGGTGGGAGGAGGGTGAGGATTGAAAAACTACCTATTGGGTATTATGCTTATTACATGGGTGATAAAATCTATACACCAAAACCCTGTGACACATTTTAACTATATAAGAACCTGAACATGTACCCCTCGACCTAAAATAAAAGTTAAATAAATAAATAAAAACTGTCATCTTTTCTTTGTACTATTTTTTAAAAATTAATTCTGGTGATGGTAACAATGTGGATTTGTTCCTGAACTCTATTATATGCCAATGACCTATTTGTTTATCCTTGTATTAATACCATATTGTCTTAGTTATTAGTGTTTTATGTAAGCCTTGCTATTTTGTGATGTAAGTTTAATTTTCTTCTCATTCTTCTCCCCATTTTTTTCCTCTCTTCCTTCTCCTTCTCCTTTCTCCTTTTCTTCTTAGCCTTTTTTCCTTCATGTTCCTCTTTCAAGATTATCTTGGCTATTCCTGACTCATTGCATTTCTACATAAATTTTATAATCTCATCAATTTCCACCAAAATTTCTGGAAATTTTATCGGAATGATCGAATTTGTAAAATAACTTGGAAATAACTGCTTTATAAAATCAAGTCTCTAGGTCTATGGATGTGGGATATCCCTCTGTTCATGTAGGTCTTAATTTTTCCTATGTATGTCTTTAATGTTTCGTGGTTTTCTGAATGTATGTTTTGCCTTATTTTCTTCCATGTATTCCAAGATAATCTCATGGTGGATGCCATTGTAAACAGTTTTTAACATTTAATTTAAAAATTAAAAAATTTAAATATATTTTTTAAGGTTTAATTTTTAAATATCTAATTACCACTATATAATTTATTTGTTGCTTTTAGCTGTCATGTACTACATTTGCTGGCTCTTTCTACTGGCTAGAATGTACACTCCTTACATTCTAACTATATAACTACAATAAAGTAGGAGACTATTTGTCTATTTTGGTTTACTCATGTATCCCAGTACATAAAATAGTGCCCCATATTTAGTAAGTAGTCAACACATATTTGTTGAATAAATAAATTATTGAATAGATAATAAATCAATGAATAGTGTATTTAGTAGTTAGGAGCACAGATTTTGGAATCAAACTAACTGGATTCAAATCTGGCCATTATCCTTACTAAATTAACTGAGTATGCAAACACACACACACACACAAATTTATATTTATAATTGTATCTGACATATCTCAATCTTTTGAGATAAATACTATCTTTGTTGACATTTTATTATGAGTAGATTGAAACTTACAGTGGTGAATTGGTAAGAGGCACACAGTAAATGGCAGAGCTGGGATACAAATTCAATTCCATTTGACAATTAATTTAATGCTCATACTTTTCTTTGTGCTTTATGATACTTTTGAAATTTTATTTTCTTATTTCTCTTATGTTTGCTTTAAATCTTGTTACATTGACCAGAAATTTCAGCTCTAATGACAGTGGTAATGAGGCATCCCTGATTAATATAGGGAGTTTGGACCATTCAAGCAAAAACCTCAAATGTCCATTGTTAATTGCTATGCTGATTTGAAGTATCCATTCTTCATAAGGTTTCAGGCCTATCCTCCTCTTCTAGAGTTTTAATTAATCAACAAAGTTTAATTTTACCAACTATCTATGTTATTTAAGTGATCTTAGAAGGATAAATAAGGTAGTCAATGTGAATACCTGTTTAATCTTATGAAGAAAACTGCTGGTAAATTGTAGGTACCATAATATAGTGATAATCTGAGGTGTGCCTATTGCTGTAATATCAGGGATACTTTGATGTAAACTTCAGTTTTAACTATATACAGTAATTCCCAAATGCTATTTGCATTTCCATTTTTGTTGATAGTACACTGAAGTGCAATGGATTCTGTACAGTCATTGGATCTATTAATCTTGCTTAATTCAATGATTATTTCTGAAGGTTACCTGTAGATGCTCTGAATTTTCTATTTAAACTATCTGTAAACAATGACAGCTTTATGTTTTCTTTCTAATTCTTTGTACTTCTCATTCCTTTCTCCTGCTTTACTGTATTGACTAGGGCAGTGGTTCCCAACCTTCTTGGCAACAGGGATGAGCTTCATGGAAGACAATTTTTCCACTGACTGGTGGCGGGTGAATTGTCTCGATATGATTCAAGCACATTGCATTTATTGTACACTTTATTTCTACTGTTATTACATTGTAATATGTGATGAAATATTTTTACAACTCATAATGTAGAATCAGTGAGAGCTCTGAGCTTGTTTTCCTGTAACTAGCCAGTCCCATCTGGGGTGATGGGAGATAGTGACACCAGAAGTGTGTTGTTTATGTCCAGTCTACTCCATAATCTCATTTTGGTTGCTGTCACTGCAGGAAACCCTGCATCAAAGACACAGGATATTGGAAATGGAAGCAGAGTTTTCAGTGCTTTTGTGACAGTCTCACAATATTCTGCCTTGACTTTCATCCAGAAAGTATGGAGATCTGAAGTTGTCTCAAACATACTGTTAAGGTTACCATCATTTGTAATCTCAAGCAGTTAATCCTCTTCTAGCACAGACAAAGTCGATTCACCTGGATTATTCACAAATTGATTGTGGATCCCTTCCCTCTCAGTTCAGGCGTCTTTTGTGGTTGGCAAGTAATGCTCAAGCCCTTTTGAAAACTGAGACAGGTGATCATGCACCAGCTGGGGGAAAGAAGGCCCTGGGTCCATCTCTTTCAAAATCTCTGCTAATGTTTGAAACATGTCAGAAATTCAAATATTCACTTGTCACTCCCATAATCCCAGTTTGATTTTGAATGCAGCCACTTTATCTGCCGACTTGAACACAGTTGTCATTCTCCCCTGAAGTGACAGATTGAGTTTCTTGAGCAGGTTGAATATGTCACACAAGTAAGCAAATTTTGTGACTCATTCTTTGCCACTAAAATCTGCTGCCAAGTAGTGACTGCTTTTCTAAAAGAAATCTCTGGACTTGCTCTTGTAACTAAAAAACTCTGGCCAGTGGTTTACCTTTAGAAAGCAATCTCACTTCTGTGTATAAGAGAAAACATGTGCTATGCGTCCATCTCCTCACAGAGATGAGTGAACGGATGTGAGTTAAGGCCATGTACTTTAATGTGGTTGATAACTTAATCACATCCTGCAAAATGTTAAGTTCAGGTGATGTTTTTGGCTAGCCAGCTTTTCTCTCTGGATGACACAGTGTGTAGAGTCACATTCAGAAGCCATCTCTTTGGCCTGAGTAGTGAAACCAGAAGGTCCTCTAGTTATGGCAGCCTCTCCATGTATGCATATACTCACACAAATTGATCAGTTCAGTTTTCCTGAAATGTCGTTATTCAAGACTTGAATAATTCAGTTGCGGTGTTGGTTGGCAACAAAAGCGCACATAACATATCCTCATGCACATCCTCCTGAAAAATATATTGCGCAAAACAAGCATTGTTGCCTTGTCAACATCGGTAGACTCATCAACCTGGATTGCGTAACATGGTGACTCATTAATCCTCTTTACCAACTGTGCCTCAATGTCCTCTACTACTTCATCAGTTCGTCTAGTTATGGTGCTAGCCAAAAGGGGAAGGCGTGTCACCTTTTGAAGGGCATCCTCTCCTAGAAGTTCAAGACAAATGTTCTTAGCAGCAGGCAGGATCAACTCTTCACTAATGCTAAATGGCTTCTTAGCTTAGCAGTGTGGTTAGCCACTAAAAATGATCGTTTCAGTGTAGACACATTTGATGAAGTGGTGGCCTTCAATAATTGCTTCTGCTCTTTGTGTTCACTTTACTTAAAAACAAAAAACAAAAAAACAAAACAAAAAAACAACTCCAAAGTCGTGTCTTTTAATGCAGGGTGATTGGTCTCCATGAGGCAAAGCAGTTTTGAAAGATTCATGGCTTTGTTGGATGAGCTTGGAGAATGTGAACACTTGTTGCAGTGAACACGTAATTCAAGTAGGACTCTTGGTATTTTCTATTAAATGCAGCTTTTTTTGGATTGGCAGTCTCAGAGTCTTCTGCTGGCTCATCACTGGGTCTTTCCTCCTTTTCAAAGAAGCTCTCCAGGGCGTTTTGTCCTCATTTTGGCTAGGGTTAGCTTGTGGGCTTACCAAAACTGTGACTGAGACAAGTGTTGTACAGTGTGGGAAAGAGGTGTGAATGGAAGTGGTAAATAAAATAATGGGTGGGCCATATGCAGACTAAAATAAGTGTTGGATTCTGACTTAGCCTCCCACCAGATGCAGCTGTACCATTGAAGTACGTCAACTCACTTGCCACTATAAAGCCTGCCACCACTTCAGCTCTACCTCAGATCATCAGGCATTAGATTCTCATAAGGAGCACACAACCTGGATTCCTCGCATGCATAGTGCACAATAGGTTTTGCACTCCTGTGAGAATCTAATGCCACCACTGATCTGATAGGAGTCAGAGCTCAGGTGGTAATGTGATCAATGGGGAGTGGCTATACATACAGATGAAACTTCCCTTGCTCACTCACTGCTCACCTCTTGCTATGTGGCCTTGTTCTGGTAGTGGCTGCTACCAATCTGTGGCCCAGGGGTTGGGGACTCCTGAACTAGGATGTCCAGAACAGTGTTAAGTAGAAGTAGTAACAGATTTTTTTCTCAGTCTCAGGGGAGTAATGTTCAATTGAATACACACTTTGCTTAATATTTTACAACTATCTATGTTAGTTTGCTGAGTATTTACATTAAATGAGAAGTTTTATCAGTGTTATTTTCAGCATCTATAAAGATATTTTTTCTCTCGATTTTATTAATGTGAATTATACTAATTGATTTTAAATGATTAAATCAAATCATACTTGTTCATAACATACAATCATTTATATATAATTGTATTTAGAATACTAAGCTTTTGTTAAGAGAATGTATCTTCATGAACGATATTGATCTTTTTCTTTTTTTTTTTCATTTCAAGGAGTAATGCTAGAAAAGAAAGAGAATAAAGGGAAAGATAGGGAAAGCAGATGAGGTATTCTTTATAAATAAACAGAAGGAGCCACTCAGGGGAGTATTAACTGCCTGTCATCCAGGCAAGGAAAAGTCCATTCCATGCCCTAGTTGTACTTAGTCCATCACTCATCCTTTTGTACCTTCTGGCCAAACAGGAATATGAAGCTGGGTGAAAAAGAGAAAATACTTCTCCTTTTTAAAAAATCTTTTTTCTTTTCTGTCCATGATGTTTAGGGATGTTGGAACAACTCTGTTACCAATTGAGGTCACATCCAAACCACAAAATTAAGTTGTTCTCTTCTTACATCCTTAAATAGCTATATTGAGAGGAAATTTAAACTTTACACATTTAAATTTAATTTACATGTACTCAAAGGGTAAATTTGTTATATATATAACTCCTAAAGTTCTGAGACATTCATTAGCATTTTCAATAACTTATTCTTAGAAAGTCTTGTTTTGCCAGAAGTTGGAATTTATTTCAAAAGGTTTCAGTGCATTTTAGAATTTTTACCTGCAAGAGTTGAGTATGTTATAAATATGGTAAACATGCCACTCCCCATTCCTACACAGCACTGTAGTGATGTGTTGCCAATCAAGTTGGCAGGTGCAACTCTTGAGACATGTTGTATATTATGTCCACTTTGTGGATGAGCATGTAGCCAAACAGGTTTGAGTTAACACCATATAGAGTCACCCCTTTCCATCGCTGCGAAGAAGAGTTAAGCAAGCTGAGAACCAGGAGCCTCTGAGCAGTTGCCAAATCTTGTCTTCTATGTATATTTTTAAAGATTTCAAACTTTTTTATTAAAGAGTTATTACATTTTTATTCAATTTAAAATTACCCTCTTTATTTTACTAATTCTGGCCTTCAATAACAGGATGAAAATAACATCAAAGAAAACTGTAATGACCTAAGCAAAAAATTTTAAAAAATCTTTTCTTTCTTTTAATGATATTTTTAAAAGCAGTGAATAATGCTGTTTTTTGTGTCACCAAGGGCACAGAAAACTCAAGTAATGGGCTGTATTTTCACCTAAGGTCCTTTTTTTCCTTCCCAGAGAGTACTTCATTGATACAAATACAGTAAACATAGAACAGTAAAGTTATTATTGATTTATTTCATTTTCTTAGGGAAGCAAACAATCTGAAACTCTGCTACCTTGAAAAAATGACTATAACTTGTGATCAAAACTTCTCACAAATTTTAACACCAGTGACCACAAATTAGGAAACTTGGGCAGCCTGTTAGGCTGACTGGGTTTTTCCCAGACACCTGCAGCCTCACAGAATACCTGAACTTATTGGCAGTATCTTTCTCTCCTTTTTTCTCAAAGTCTACTCCCGTTCCCCCGACACCATAATAAACATTTGATGTTGAAAGTGTATCAAGGTTTGCAGACTATGTACTATTGTTTTGAGTAATTGTATTTTCAATGGACTTGATTGACATTGTATTTTTTATTTATAAAAAAAGATTATTTTATGATGCCATATGGAAACCTACTTCACTACTTTTAACAGCTCCCTTAAGATGTTTTTGAACCAGGTTGCTTCCAATTCTTTGCTACCACAAATAGTACCACAATGAACATCCTGAGGCCTTATGGAGCTGTGTGATAATTTCTTTAGAATATATGTACTCAGAACTGAAAAGACTGGTTAAAGTATGCTTAATATGATTAAGTGGTGTCACTTTGTTCTCTAGAAGGGCCATAGGTTACACTGCTTTGATGTACTCATAAAGGTTCCCATATCCCACATCCTTGGCTAAATTTGGCTTCATTAAGCCAATATAATTATGCCAGCACGATAGGCGTAAAATGATTTTTCACTATTGCATTTCTATGATTTATTTGCACTTCTCTGATTAATAATACTTTTGAGCACCTCTTTACATGTTTATTTTCTGTCATGTACGTATTGTCTGTTTATTTTTCTTTGCATGTTTTTCTAAAGTTCTCAGTAAATTTGCAGGAGTTCCTCATACCTCTCACCAGGTATCACCAATATTTTCTCCTATTTCAATAACATCATTAACACGGTGACCAACAGAATATGTGGTTTAAATAAACTGTGGTAAAATATACAGAAAAATGTGGCCATCTTAACCATTTTTGTGTGTACAGTTCAGTAGTGTGAAACACATTCACATTGTTGTGCACCAATTTCCAGAACTTTTTTCATCTTTCAAAACTGAAACTTTATACCCAGGAAACAGCAATTCTCTCTTCTCCCCTCCCTCTAGCTCCTGGCAACCACCATTTTACTTTCTATGTCTTTGATCTTGGTGCCTCATATAAGCAAAATCACATAGTGTATGTATTTTTGTGGCTGGTCACAGAAAGTTTTAATAAATAAATCAGTGCATTTGGTCTTAGTGATTGTGGATTTGAAATTTTAAGAGGCCCTTTCTCTTTCTTAGGTCACAAAGATTCTCCAACATCTGTTCTGAAACAAAAGCTAAGTCTATGACAATTTTACAAAGATACCTTATAGTTTGACATTACTCATTTAGATCTTTATTTCATCTACAGTCTACCTTCAAATGCTGTATGTGGTTTTACTCAGGCATCCAGTTTTATTTTCTTCAAATAGTGAGCCAGTTTTCCCAATATCATCTATTGAACAATACTTTCTTTTACTATTATTTGTAGTCCTACCTATATTACTTCCATATCAATTGTCTTATCTCTAACTTGCATTTTGTTCCATTGGTCTATCCATCTGTTCCTGCAACAAAACTATGTTGCTTTATTTAAAAAAAAAGATTATTCATGTACCTTTATTGTTCCAAATAAATCTCATAGTAAGTTTATCAAGTTTCTCAAAATATTTAATTAGAATTTTGCTTAGGGTTGCTTTAAATGTGTAAGTGAGTTTCATTCATTCTATTCAAGTGTGTGAGATGTCTTTTCATTAATTCAGCTAATCTTCTATATCTTTTGGTAGCATTTTAACATTTTCTCCATATTGCCATAGTCCATTTGGGCTGCTGTAGCAAAATACCAAAAGCTGGGTAGCTTATAAATAATAGAAGTTTATTTCTCACAATTTTGGAGGCAAGGAAGTCCAAGATCAAGATGGTGGCAGATACAGCATTTGTGGAGTGCCTGACCTCTGGTTTATAGATGGTGTCTTTGTGCTGTAACCTCAACTGACAGCAGGAGCTAGGGATCTCTCTGGGACTTCTTTTATAAGGGCACGAATTCTATCTATGAGGGCTCTGCCCTCATGACCTAATCACCTCCCAAATATCCCACCTAATAATGCTATTACCTTGAGGATTAGGATTTTAATGCATGCATTTTGCAGGGACACAAACATTCAGATCACAGCAGAGATTTTTATAAATTCTTGTTAAAATTCCTAAATACATTGTAGATTTTATTGCAAGAGTTAGTATTCAATTTTAAATGTTATTTTCTATTTGATTATTACAAGTGTTTAGAAAATTAGTTTTTGTGTGTTCCACTAACCCCTCTGTATTGAATCTTTTGTGTATATTGTAGCTGGACACTACCAAAAGACTTAGTGACCAGTTGGACTAAATGAAGGGATTAAATTGATCTGAGTGTCTCAAGGTATAGATTGTACTGGATTCCTCCTGTGTACTGCTGCATATGCCTTCTGCCTTATTTCTGATTCCAGCCAATGGTCCTACGTAGAGTTAGACCAATTTCATGTTGACCACATGTCCATTGCTGGTCATTTGTTTCCTGCCCTGGAACATCTCTGACTTAGGGAATGTGATGACTATGATAACTCACCTAACACTCACAATGGGCAACTCAGAACTGCTGGAGGACAATTTTGAGGTACATTTCGTGGCTCCACAGTTGATTGAGCACCAGTTTTCCACATTGGTTAGCAATTTAATAACACATCTTTGTATAGGCTTGTCCCTCTTCTCTTTTTCACCTTTTGTTGTAGTCAGGGCTCTCTAGAGAAATACAATCAATAGGAGATAAGATATATATTATAATATGTGTGTGTGTATATATATATACACACACACATATATGTATATATACACATATATCATATATGATATACATCTTATGTGTATATATTTTTATATTTGTATATATTTGCTCTTATATATGATATATGATATAAATATATCAATACAATATTATATAATATGTATCATATATCTGTATCATATCTATAATATGATATATAATATTGTATATATACACACGGTGTATATTTTGTGGCTCCACAGTTGGAAGTTGCTGCAAGGCAAAAAACATTGGAGAAGTCACTATAATGTGACTATGTGAGGAGAGGAAGAAAACATAGCAAATTGTTTGCTCTAAGTTGACATGCTGAGCTTAGCTAAATTTATCCTAAGAATAGCTGCAAAATGCTGGTTGCTAGTGGGATCCATCATTACCATTAATGGTTGGAACTGTCACAGTTGCTTTTATTTACTGAATGAAAGAAAAACTGTTAAGATTTTTGAATAACTCGACTTTGTCTAAAGATTAAAAGCATTGTACTATTTAACATGTTTCAATAGAAAAAAGTTTATTGTTCCTAATTGACATTAACTGTATATACATTGTTTTACCTTCATATAAATTTTAAAAAGACACATAATTTTCTGATCTTGTATTGCCCCATTACATTAAGACTGCTAACAAGTGATATTTATCATATGGTGAAAATACTGCAATGCATGCAAAAAGGATTACATTTTGCTCTTGCATACACTTGACCTTTTAAGCTGCCTATCAATTGGAGAGATTTTTAGCTGATAGCAATACTGACAGCCCTTTTTGTGGCTGACTGCTGGGAGATGTAGCAATCATTGACACCAGTTAACCTCTGACATTTCCTTTATATCATGCAGCGTTATTGTCTGTTGGTTGAAGGCAATTTATTTCCACTTCCAGACTCTTGGTTTTACCCAATCATGCTTATACAGTGGTATTTAGAATGAAAAGAAGGAAGCTCTGCTAGGTTCTGCTAAAGTTTAGATTTGCCTTGAAAATTTCTGAAGATGCCCTGTGCAAATTGATATTTTTATGCCACTGAATAGTTTACTCAAAGATGAGATAGTAGGAGCACCTTTAGTGTCAACCAGAGGGTGACAGCCAGTTGCCACTTTCTTTTGCTCTGGTGTCTCTGGGGTGTAGTGGATTTTTTCCTAGTAGAAGTTTATAAGAATGGCTAACAAATCTCTGAAATTAAATTTTATTCTGTAAATGATCAGAAGCTCATTGAAATGATATCAGGCCCAAGTTGAGTTCTTCACAGATAATAGAAAAGGAAATAAATCTTTAAAGTGGTGAAAACCCACCTAGGTCAGTCTTGTTGAAAGCCAATTTAAATCTAACCTAGATTTGATTAAAAGTAAAAGCAAGTAGTATGATTCCTAAAAAAACATTAGTCTGAGCCTATTATCATTTGATTTATTACTAGTTGTCTGTTATACAAATGCTAATTATTAAATGTTGTCAAGATTTTTTATGTCTGCAATTTTTATGAGCAATTTTTTAAGATGATTGATAACACGGGTAGTAGGAAACAGGTTCTTGGGTCAAATCTGGATTAAAGTTTTGACCCTGTAATTCATCATCGGTGTGAACTGGGGTATATGATTTAATTTTTTAGTGATAGAGTCTCACCATTTTGCCCAGGCTGGTCTTGAACTCCTGGCCTCAAACAATCCTCCCGCCTCAGCCTCCCAAATCAAGAGGATTGCAGGTGCAAGCCACCGTGCCCAGCTAATGATTTAAAAAAATAAATAAAAATTGCTAAAAGTCATTGCATATTTATGATTACTCTTTAAAAACTTTTATAAACTTACAAAAGTAAGCAGAATGTTGTTTATGGGTATATCAGTATATAGTAAAACTATTATATAGTTTTAGTTTCTATCTCTGTAGAAAGGGTATTAAAATACATACTTTACAGGATTGCTGTCAAGATAATTTATGTAAAATAGCTGGCACAAAATAGGTACCCAATTTTTAGTAGCCATTCTTAGATTTATCATTTGAAGTTAATCAGACCCTATGTGTCTTGGGGGCCCTGCAGAGCTGAGTGAGAGGCAGAATGATCTCCCTATTGCATTTTTGTCATGGATGCCAATTCTATAATTGTATTCTCCCTACTCAGGGTCATTTCTCTACTTAGATGAAGTATATCTACACTTTCAGACAGTAATCTGGACTAAAGCACCATAAACCAAGTTCATAGGCATCATTCTAGTAAGTGTAAAATTCTTTAATGTTTGGTTTATAGCATCAAAAAAGATTTGAATATTTTTAGCTGCTATCTTTGTAAGTGATCTCTTTATATATTAGTCATTATGAAGCTCTACTTTTTCATTTTTTAATAATTTATGTGTTTATTCTTTGAGAAATGGCTCTTACCAACAAGAGTATAAAGAATGATCATGAAACCCACTTATGTAGCTACCATGGAGCTTAAAAAATATAAAACAGTAACAATGTATCTGAAGTTTCCTGTATTATTCCTCAGTCTCTCATTCTTCAAGCTTACCTTGGTTCTAATTTTTGGGTGGATGATTATTGTGCCTTTATAAAAATAGTTTACTATATACTGATATACCCATAAACAACATTCTGCTTACTTTTGTAAGTTTATACAAGTTTTTAAAAAATAACCATATGCAATGACTTTTAGCAATTTTTATTTTTTTTTTAATCATTAGCTGGGCATGGTGGCTTGCATCTGCAATCCTCTTGATTTGGGAGGCTGAGGATTGCTTGAGGCCAGGAGTTCAAGACCAGCCTGGGCAATATAGTGAGACCCTATCACTAAAAGATTAAAAATAAATAAATGAAATCATTGAAATAGTTGAGATAATTTTTTAAACTCTTAATTTGATGAATTACATTAAATGATTTTTTAATGTTAATCCAAACTTGCAGATACTTACATAAATGCAATTGATGCATGATATATTATCTTATATGTGAATTGTTGGGTTTGATTTGCTCATATTTTGTTTAGAATTTTTATTTTAATATTAATGGCTTATATTGACTCAAATTTTCTTTCTTATACATTTCTTGTCTGTTTTCAAAATCAAAGATGTATATTGGCCTCTTCAAAGGAGACAGAGAGTGCTTCTACTTTTTCTCTTCTCTAGAATTGTTTGTATAAATTGGATTTTCTTTTCATTGAGGTTTGATTGAATTCCCCTGCAAAACCATGTTTTATTTGTGGAAGATATTTAATTACTGCTTCAATTGATATAATAAATATAGACCTTCTCAGGTGGACCTAATTTTTCTAAAGATATTTTCATAATATTTTCTAGAAATTTGTCTATTTTATCTAAGCTTTCAAATGTACTGTCATAAGGTCATTAATATTTTCTTATATTTAACCTGCTTAATCTATAGTTCATTACTTTCTTATTTCTAATACTACTTATTTAAAATTATATTTATCTTTTACCATAGTTAAACCAGTTTATGACTTTGTTGAGCCTGTCTTTAAGTTTTTGTCTTCTGCTTTTTTTAATGTTAGCCTTTATAATTTTTATTTCATTCCTTCATCTATTTGGGTTCAATTCATATTCTTTTTCTGATTTTTTAAGTTTGATATTTATTTCATTAATTTCTAGTATTTCTTGTTTTCTATTTTAAAAACCAAGGCTATTAATTTTCCTTTATATGCCATTCTTCAAACTTATATATGCAGTATTTTTTGCTTATAAGTATTTTCTAATACCTATATTAGTTCTTTTTTAAGCCACAAGCTATTAAGAAGTGTGCTTTTTCCACCCTTAATGTAGGAGTTTTTTGAAGTTGTGTTTTTCTTGTTGTTTTCTAACTTAACTACATTGAGGTCAGAAAATATGCTCTTTATATGAGTAATTCTTAGAAAGTCTTTGAGAATTGGTTTATGGCACATGGAGTCCTAATGTCCTATGTATGATGAAAAGTATGTTGATTTTTCCAATTTTACAATATAGTATTCTGCCTTTGTTCCTTGAATTAAGCTTAATTGTGTAAAAGTTTTGCTTTTTTTCCTGCTTAATCTGTTAGTGACTGAATGAGGTAAGTAAAATTATTCCATTTTTATAGTAGATTTGTTATGTTTTCTTTGTAGTTTGCTCACTTTGTGCTTAATACATTTTGAAGCTAGGTTTTTACACTCATGAGTTTAGAATTGTTATATCTTTTTGGAAGATAAATTTGTATCAATATGTAATGATCCTTTTAATCACTAGCAATATCCACATTTTAAATGTCTATTTTGTCTCATCTTAATACAGCTTTAGCAGCCTTTGTATGACTAGTGTTGGTTAGGCATTTTTTTTTAAGTTTGCTTTCAATCTTTCTGTATATTTATGTTTTAGGTTGGTGGCATGCAAATAACATATTGGACTTGACAATCTCTACATTTTAACTTCAAATTTTAATCCATTTATATTGATTTAGATTACTTATAATTGTTGTAATTATCAGATTAATTATTATTTATTGCACTCCTTTTGACTTTTTTTCCCCAAATATCGTGGTTTTATTTATTTTGTTATTCTCCTCTCTTTGCTCCACCAACACTAACTAGTATGGATATTACTTTATTTCCAATCTTTAAATAGATACTCTAAAAACTTTAACATGCATTTTAAACAGCTCTATTGAGATATAACTCATGTATCATCCAGTTCATTCTATAAAACGTACGATGGTTTTTAGTATACTCATGGAATTATGCAACCATCACATTTACACTATTTTCATCAACCTCCAAAGGAACCCTACATCCATTTTAGTTAGTAGTCACTCTGTCCCTACCAGCAGTAAGCCACAACTAATATAAACTTGATTATTCTGGACATTTAAATGGAATACAATATGGCTTCTTTCAAGACTGGCTTCTTTCATTTTGTGTAATACTTACAAGGTTTACCCATCAGTATTTCATCACATCTTATGACTGAATAATGTTCCATTGTATGGTTATGCTATGTGCTGTTTTTCCACTCATCAGTTGCTGGACATTTGGGTTGTTTACGTTTTAGCTATTATGAATAGTGCTGTCATGTACTAGTATTTGTGTGGACTTATGTCTTCATTTCTCATGTATATATATCTAAGAGAAGAATTGCAAATCGTATGGTAATTATTTAACTTGTTGAGAACTGCCAAACTGTTTTTTAGGTTAGCATTTTTCCAATGACTAATGATGTTAGGCATCTTTTTACATGCTTATTGGACATTTGTATATTGTTTTTGGAACAATGTCTATTCAGATCCTTCACTCATTTTAGAATTCAGCTATTTGTCTTTTTATTTTTGAGTCACAAGAGTTCTTTGTATATTCTGAATACAAGCTTCTTGTCATATAAATGTTTGCAAACATATTTTCCTATTAGAGGTTTTCTTTTCACCTTCTTGATGATGTCCTTTAATGCATAAAATTTTTATTTTGATTGAGTTCAATTTATCTAAATTTTCTTTTGAAACATAGAGGTGGTACCTTACAACTGTAATAGTTGTTGGTTTAGGATTTGGGAATTTAGTATTTTGGACACATCCTTTTGTTCAAGACACAAGAATTATTAGGAATAAATCCAAATAAATATATCAAGCTCCCTGTGTCTTAGTAGTTTACAGCCTACCTAGGTATAAGTATATTTGCAATTAAAACATTAAATAAGATTTACACGTATTTAAGCTTTTAATATTGGCTTCAGAGTCTTGAAAGTTACTTATTAAAGTCCTTTCCACCACCAATTCTAATTAATGGTTTATTTACATCTAGTTCTGGACCTGCCTGAATGTTTTTCAGAGTTATTTTACCTAATTAAAAAACATCTACTTTAGCTTTTTGATAGTAAAAGAAACGGCAGATTATATTTGCATTACTAAGAAGTTCACAGTATCAAGCTTTGAATTTTATGATTTGGTTAAAACAAAAGCAAAATGGCTGATTTTATTTTCACTTTTTTTCTAATTTTAAAATTTATTTTTGACAGCATTCTAATGTCAAACAAGATGCTGAAGTGTAGGAGTAGCCAAAAGATAAAGAGTCAGAGAAGTGCCTAATCTGGAGAGATAATTTTTATCTAAACAGGCCCAGGGATATTTTTGGAAAGCTGAAAAGAATAGCTTCATAGGATAGTTCTGCCAAGCTTGAACAGAGATATTTCCTTTTGCCACTGTGTGTGTGTGTGTGTGTGTGTGTGTGTGTGTGTGTGTGCATGTGTGTTCTTCCAAATTAAATGATTTCTATAGCTAGGCTGGCCCTTGGGAAGATACTCAGCACCTACTAGCCCAGAGTTGGAGGAACATGGGATAGTTGGGTGCAGTTCCACCCAACAAGAGTTATTAGATATGCTAGAAACCAGGGGCATGGAAATAAAAAAAGAAAACACATTTTTCTTCCTCTAAGCTGAATTGGTAGAGTAGAAAAAAGAGACACTTGAAAACCCCCAACTTTACTATGTTTTGACAAGTGCTGCAGAATCTTCCTCTAGTTTGCTAAGACAGCCTTATAGAAAAATAACATAATTATGAGAGTGACATCCTGTCACCTTTGACAGATTGGGTTGGTTAGATGCAAGTCTTAGGCTCTGCCTGAACACAAGGAGAGGAGATTATACAAGGGCATGGCTCACTGGGGTGTGTTCACCCCAGTGGGAAATGCAGTTTTTGGTTGCTTAGGCTCTGCGATACACAAATTGGAAGAATTGTTAAGAGAGCCTATCTGTTGTGCCTCCACCCTTATGTTTCAGGACAGGCTAGTGATCCAGTGTGGCTGGAGCCTATGCCCTCTAGGGATGTTTCACTATGGATAAAGCTGGAGAGGTAGGTAGAAGCCCAATTATTAATAAAGTGTCTGGTGTATCGCAGTAAGGAGTAAGGGGAGCCTGTGAACTCTTAATGCAAGGAAACAATAAAATCTGAATTTTGGAAATATTTGGAAAGAAAGTGTATTGGGTTTTTAGTGCTATGCAGTAAGTTACTGTGTAATTGGCAGTGTAAAACAATGCATATTTAATAGCTCACAGTTCTATAGATCAGAAGTTTGTATAGGGTCCTCATTCTACCCATTGGAGCCTTAAGTAACAGACTGGTTACTACATGGCCTTTGAAGTTCATGTATTAGCATATCCTGATATCTGAAGGGGATTTTAAGAAGACAATAAAAACATTGTTGTATACGACTGAGCTCAGGATCCATAATAAGCAATCACACACAACTTTCTACAAGTGGTATGCAGTATATATCTGTATTAGTTCTAATTCTGTATCACTAAGTAGTTGGTGTTTACCTGTAATCTTGGTAGCTGAGAAGCAGTCTTTGACTTCCTAAATTGAGTTCCCCCGCTACCCCGCCCTGCCCTGCTCTTCCTTTCAGCTGTTAGTGCTGGAAAGTCAGATTCTTGGTTCCTGGTCTTCATTCCCCAGTTATGGCCTTTACTTCTGCATTTGCTCAAAACACCATCTTTAATCATCAAGTCTAATGGGTTCCTTTGCTACATCCAGAGTGCTTTGCAAAGTCATGGCTTCCACTTTATGTCTAAAGACCATTTTCCTTCTTTGTTGCACTCTATAACTCAATGGTGATGGTTTTTGCTTTTAAACTAAGGAACATTGGCTATACCTGCAAACACACTCTGTAAAGTGAAATGAACTTGACAATTGAGACAAGGAATAGAAAAATGATTTCGACAAAAATATATTGTTTTACTTATTTCTAGAAGTCCTTCTTTTCATTCTCAGTCTGCTTCTTACTTCACATAGCCTCTTTTTGTATGCTCATCTTTGTGATAACAAAGGAAACACCTTTATTTATTTATATTTCATACACGGCCCTTCTACAAATCTATTGTTCCTACCAACTGTTACTTGTAGTGGCTTGCACTGTGACCTTAGATTTATTGGTGAACATATTGGTTCTGGGGCTCTAACTCAAGCTAGCTTTGGTTTAAATTGTATATGCTTCTGCTGTTACAGATGGCTACCAACTTGTAACTGCATTTGTCTGCTTTGAGGATTTTTTTCTCAGTAGGTGAGAACCAGGCTGTGTTCCTCATCTCTCTGCTTGTCCAAGATTCTGAATTCCAACAGGGTCACCACTTTGCCTTAGTTCAGACCCTTGCTCACTTTATTTTATTTTATTTTATTTTGGTGGTGGTGGTGGGGTTATTCCTAGTGAAAGCTATGATTATTGTGCAGTGGGAGGGGCCCTTTAGTATCTCGATGGACATCACGCTGTATCACAATCAGGCCTTGGATCATGCAGACACAAAGCAATGATTACATTTCATTTGTGATACTATTAAGGATATTTTTCCTGGCTGCAATAACTCAAAATATTTTACTTATTTCCCACTTCATGCACATTGATTTTTTTGGGTAATGGTAGCAGAAAATATGTGATTACCAGAGGAACGTCGATCAAGGCATTGAGGTTAGTGAAGCTTCTAAAAGTAGAAGAAAGCTGAATGTTTATTTTATTTTACTTTTATAAGACATAGGCTAGTAGTGCAGAACAGGAACACTTCCTATTCATTGGTAACAACAAAGACCTTTTAGTCATGGCAAATTACATTCCTAGAAAAGTATTTTAATGGGAATAATTATTTTGACTCTGATTTTCTGTAATAATGCTATATGAAAAATAATACTTCTGATTTGATATTTAAAAATATGCTTCAATAATGTATTGATAGGCATCTAACAAAGGACAGAATTTGTTTTCTCCTCTATTGTGATTTTCTGAACATCTTGTATATTCTTAAAGTAATTGTGTACAAGAATTAGTCTCTGAGGGCATGAACTAAATTTTATTCATCTTTATATCTTTATACACTTTGTATTCCTTGATCCAGTGCCTGGCATACAATAGTTATGCAATAACTATTTGTAAAATAAAAAGCCAAAGAAATATCTGGTTAGAAAAACTTTCTGCAAAAGTAAAGCTTATGATTAAAAAGGAGGGAATTTATTAGCACTAAGACATTTTTCTTAAGCAACAAAATTATCTATCATTACCTTACTCCTTTTGTATCTTTAGTCACTGTAGCTTTGATTATGAATAGAAAACGAATCTCAAATTGAACTATGAGTGAATAGAAATGTTCTTAGGGAGAAGTAGAAAAAGTTTTAAAATTCAACCAGGGTTGTATAAATAAATAATTCAGTAAATACAGAAAAAAAGAATGTTGAGACACTTTCTTAACATAAATTTACGTTATCTCATTAAAAAGTTTTGGTCAGTGGAGAGAGAACTGAGAGCTGAACGAAATATTAGTTGTGGAGGTTTAATCATATCTCAGAAATAAAGAATTTTGTTTGTGTAATTATTAGGGACCTGTGAAGCATTTTTGAAATTCCTGGGGTGTTCGTAGTCTTGTTATTTTCTTGTTTTGTGTCAGTGGAAAGATCTTTGAAATTTTCTGTGAAGAACATTGACTCAATTGCTGTCAGTTTTCTGTATTTTTGCCTCTCATTTTCACATACACACACCGAAGCACACAATCTGTTAACAAAGTGCCCCTCCCAAGTCCCTATTTTGTGTGTTTTCAGAACACGCTTTCTGCACAAAGAGTATAATTTCTTAGACTACTTCTTAGAAGAGAAGAAAAATGATGCCCAGTGTGGGGAAAAATGGTTAAATGTGGTTTAGTTTTTGAAGAAAAACCTGTAACTAGACAGGTACATAGCTGCTGCTGGAATTAAGTTACTGGACCAATAGGGATGATTATTAATTCTTATTTTCTTAAGCAATTCTTAAAAATTGAATTCTTGATGTGTTGATGTGTTGTAAGGTGGTTAGAATTGTGTACAATTCTTGTACAAATTCACTCTATCTGAACTTGGATACCATCCGCTGAAATTCTTGAAGATTTCATCTTCCAAGAATGTGGCCATGTTGATTTTATTTTCCAAGAGTCATATACTCTGCTTAATAAGTTATCTTGGTCAAACATTGTTTCTCTTTTGTGCCTCTTTAAACTCTTTGGTCACTTTTCACCATCAATTCATAGAATCTAAGAGTTGGGGGGAATATAGGTCACATAATCCAGATTCCCAGAAAATGCAACCTTGGCTCTATCACAACTCTGACAACTTCTGCTTTACACAGTAACAAAAATACTCAGTCCATTCAATGGAAACTTAGTATTAATAATTAAAAAATATGACTAAGCTTGAACTTTAACCTGCCCTTCCTCCACTGCCACCTGTTTATTCTCATTGTGCTTTGTGGTCTGAGTCTGTTAGTCAAATTCTTAGCTTTATATAATCATCGAATTCTATTACTCATACCCATATATTCACATATTGTTGGTTCTACTGACTTTCAGTTTTCATAAAATAATGTAAGCCAAGGTGTTCTGTAAACTGTAAAGTGATCCTTGAATGTAAGTTATTGTTTAACTTATCAATATAGAATAAGCTGTCGCCCTTGTTTAAACCTAGGTTTATCCTTTTTATGAGCTTTGGGTTTCCATGCTCTTTATCCTCTTAGTTTCTTGAAACAGATGAGTAGATGAGTAGTTATTACTTCTGCTGTTTGTACTCTAGATCAAAGGACTCCAATTCTTGTCAGTAGTATGTAAAGAAATTAAATTAGTCAATAGAGTTTTGGTTTACTGATAGATTTAGTCTCTGAATCTAAGTCGTATTTATCCAAATATAAGCATAATATTAACATATTGTCCATTTTTTTGCCCCCATTTTTTTCCAATTATTTATTTGAATTCTAAAAATAGAAAAAGGAGGATTGGGGAAAAATACTATAGTTTAATTCTGAAAAAACTTTGAGTCAGGGGCGGTGGCTCACGTCTGTGATCTCAGCACTTTGGGAGGCTGAGGCAGGGTGGATCACCTGAGGTCAGGAGTTCGAGACCAGCCTGGCCAACATGATGAAACCCCGTCGCTACTGAAAGTACAAAAATTATCTGGGCATGGTGGCAGGTACTTGTAATCCCAACTACTCGGGAGGCTGAGGCATGGGAATCACTTGAACCCGGGAGGCAGAAGTTGCAGTGAGCCGAGATCGTGCCACTGAACTCCAACTTGGGGTATACGAGCAAGACTCTGTCTCCAAAACAACAAAACAAAACAAAACAAAAAACCCAAAAAGAAACTTTGTTAGGTAGGTATTTTTATTTCCATTTCACAGATGAGGAAACTAATTTTCAGAGAAGCTTCTAAATTTGCCCAAGTTCACATGTCTAAAAAGTGGACTATAAAAATATCTTGACAAATAAGAAAAGGAATAGTAATATACTTAGAAAGCCTATGAAACAACCAAAACATAAAAGGAAATGTAACCAAGTCTCATATTTTAATCTATCCTTGGTAAAAAAGCCAGGCTATAATTATAAAGCTATGAGCGATTCTTCATTTAAATACCAATTTGATAATTATATCCAGAAGATTCCTGGAAGGAAAATAAGTGAGAAGAGTTAGAAGAATGCCGTCTTCAATGCTGAACTCCATAAAGGCCTCAGGTCACAGAGAAGATAATGATGGTAATACTAAATCGTAAAACTGTACAGTACTAACAAATACAAATACAAATGAATAATATTTGTGTTTTTATAATTTACTAATTTATTTTTAATATATTATTTCATTTACTTATCAAATTAATCATTCTACAGAAACATGAGAATTTAAGATGGATGAAGCAAAACTCATTAAATATTGCATGTGTGATTCTTTTTTGTTTGTTTGTTTGTTTTTTCTGAGACATGGTCTCACTGTCTTTCAGGCTGGAGTGCAGTGGCATGATCGTGGCTCACTGCAGCCTCAACTTCCTGGGCTCAAGCAATTCTCCTGCCTCAGTTCCCCTAGTAGCTGAGACTACAGGTGCGTGCCACCTTGCTCAGCTAATTTTTTTTTTTTTTGAATCTTAGTAGAGATCAGGTCTTGCTATGTTGCCCAGGCTGGGCATTTGTGAGTCTTGATATAGAAATGTGTGTTCACAGTCATTCCCAAGGCCTATAGGGAAGACACATTCTAGTGACTGTTAGTAAGGGTCCATATCAGGAAGAGCTAGAAAATAATTCAAGATGATTTTCAAACAAATTTCAGAGAGTCTGATTATCTTTATTCTTTATGATAAAAATATGTGTATCTTATAGCAATAGGAAGAACCTGCTCATCTTAGTAGAGTGCGTGAATTTGAAGTCAGGAGGTTTGGTTTCTGATCTTAACTCATTCTTTAAGTGACAGAGAGTTCAATTCTTTGGTCATTATTTTTTCATCTGTAAAATAAGGGATTTGGGTAAGATCAGTGGTTCTTAGCTGGGAGTGCACTGTCCTCCTCAAGGCGTGTTAGGAACTTTGGCTGTTTTTTTCTGTGAAGACGCTCAAGAAGTTTGTCTGTGGCTTGGGGAACATTGACTTTTGGTGTTAAGTGCCATGTAGAGCTTTCTGGTTGACTTAATGCTAATCATGTCCACTTATTCAGGGGCTACTTGTCTTCATTAATTTACTTACTGAAGGAGGAAACTACAGAACAGATTTTAATCAGGAAAATGCTATTTTTTTCTATCTAACTTTAAGAAAAGCTGGCAGATTTCTTTACGGTAATGCCTGAAACCTAAAATGCCTGAAAAGGGAAGGAAAGACATCGTTTGCCTACACCATAGGGCATTCCAGTGACTCAGAAGAAAGGATCTAAAGCAAACAGGGCCAAATTCCTAAAATTAGTGCTGTCTGGATAATCTCAAGAGACCAAGATACCAGGTCCTCCTATCAGGTTAGACCTAAGTGATCAGCTCTCTGTTCTTATTTTGTTTTGTGAATTTCCGCTTAATATCTCTAAACCAAACTATTCAGCCTTCATATAACCTCCCTTTGGAGAAATTCAAAAGTATCTTCAAGCACCATTAACTTTCACTTGGGTTTGCCAAGAAAAATTGTTTACCAAGAATTACACACTTGACTTACACTCTTAATGGATGGTTTAAGCTTCACCTGAAGATGCTGTAAGATTTTCAGGAAGTGAGACAAGGTGCACTTCATAAAATGAGACATTTTTCTCCACTTTAGATTATTGCTGGAGTTCACAAATCCTAATGGTATTTGAGTTTGGAATGTTTCCTGTGCTTTCATTCTTTCTGAAGTACATCAAACAGAAATAATAAAGGCACTCCAGCACTGCCCTGGCTTGCTGGAATATTTCTTGAGAAATTTTGATTGCTAAAGATTGCTTCCCCAACTTTGGAGAAGAAAAAGTAATTTAGGATAAGTCAAGCATCTCCCCGTGGTAGAAATTTGTGTGAACCAAAACATCAACTTCCAGGAGACTTACCCTTTGCTAGTTACATCATTTTAGGCCTCAGATGCCTACTAGATCAATATAACTCAGTGGAGATGCAGCCATTTTGCCTGTGAGAGTTGAAAAAATAAAATTTCATAGACTTAAAATGATGGCTCAAGGATAGAGAGTAAAATATCTAAAAGGAAAAGCGAAATTCTAAAAACCCTGTACCCTATTAGGTTTCGTATAAAGCAGATTTAAAGAGCAATAGATAATCACTGTGTAATTGGTTTTACTTTTAGATAACTTGAAATACAAGTAGGGAAAACAGATTTCTCTTTATTTTTAGAAGTGAGTGTTTCTTGCAATAGCTTGAAGAGGTTTCTTACAGGTTCTCTGAAATTATACCTGAAAAATAGGAAGAAAACAATGAGTTAGCAGAAATGCTTTCTCTTAGTTGTATCTGTACTCAATCATATGCAGTATAGAATACCCTGGTACCCAGGGAAGTACCATCTATTTGTCACCACAGTGGAAGGTAAACAGGGCAGGCAGTCCTTGGGCAAAAATTGTAGAGCACAGAAAGTAAGATTTTTTAAAAAGGCATCTTAAACTTCTCTTCATGTATTCGGAGGATTTTGCTTAAAACTAACATTCTCTGCATTGTGGAAGCTCACTCATCTTCTGTAAGAATACCCAGAGGTGTCCTTACACATGTGCTCCTAATCGGTTATTTTCAATTTAATGTGAAGGAGTGAGAGTTAATATATTTCTTTTTCTGTAGGGCATTTGTATTTGCAACTTTCTCAAAACCTTGGTTCTACCTTTGGGATGTGAACATCATTAAGGCGGGAGATATTTCTTAGGTTTTGTTCTCCCTCTGCCTCAGAGCTCTGCATGTAGCTGGTGCTCAAAAGCACTTGCTGAGTGGACTTGAATTTACGATTATTCAGAGATCGAATCCCTGTCTCTCAGTAATCTGGTTTAGCCACCTTCAGAATTGGAGTGAAGAACAGAAAAGTTGAGGTGGACAATTTTAAATGACTTTGCAACTAGATAAAGTGAAATCAATTCTACAAATTGTAAGTTAAATTTCGATTTGTTGTGCCACAAGTGGGTGCTGACTGCTGGTGAATGTCCCTCCATGCCGGTAATCCCAGCACTTTGGGAGGCTGAGGCGGGCAGATCACTTGCGGTCAGGAATTCGAGACCAGCCTGGCCAACACGGTGAAACCCTGTCTGTATTAAAAATACAAAAACTTAGCCAGGCGCAGTGGTGTGTGTCTGTAGTCCCAGCTACTCAGGAGGCTGAGGCACTAGAATCACTTGAACCCAGGAGGTGGAGGCTGTAGTGAGCCAAGATTGGGCCAGTGCACCCCAGCCTGGGCGAAAGTGAGACCCTGTCTCAAAAATAAATAAATAAATAAACAAAAATTAAAAAAAAGAATATTCCTCCAGTCTCAGTGCCTCTTGATCCTGTGCCAGAGAGCCTATGCTATGGGTGGATAGAGAGCACAATACTGAGATACCCCACATCTAATCTGTTTTGTGGGTCACCGACATTCCACCCCACTCTGGAAACCTGGAGATGTCCTAGGTGAGAAACTCACCTCTGCTGCTTATTCTTGGTGTCTCCCTCATACCTCTCAGCATGTTCTCCCTTTTCATCCACAGTTTCTTACTTCTCTGCTCTTGTGAGGCTCAGGGCTTCCCTCCTAATGTCTCCCTTTCCTTTCTTCTGCTCCAAGTTCCCAGGGCTAGGAAACAAGAGCGTGATCTCATTGCCCAGTATATATCATATGTTCTGTATCTCTCTATCTCACCATAGACTGCAAAACTTTTGGCACTAACTATCACATGTGGAAATTATATTATGGTGATTTCAATTCCTTGAACACTGACTTTCAGAGAAATATTATGAATTTCATCCTCATATCAAAAACTTGCAAGATCAGGATCTTTATTAATTATTGAGGAAATCTGGCAGAGAAGGGTTGCTGGTTAAACCCCCAATCCCTTAGATGTTACATGACTCTTCAGTTATTTTTAGCCAACAGACTTTACTCCTCCCCTAGACTAAACAGAAGAGGCATTGTTGAGAACATTAAAAAAAAGATATGAGAAAATTGCTTTCGTTTCTAACAAAGTTTTATTCCACAGATCAAAGGAATGGAAGTAATTGATTTTTAATCTGACTTACTTAAATTGTGCTAGATAAGTTCAGAATGTTTATGAAAGGCAGAAATGTTTTCTCTTCAGAAACTTGCCATTAATTACAAGGAAAATTGATTGAGTGGTCTGTCAGTTCACATCTTGTTTCCTCCTCCTCCCTTCATGCTCTGTGCCAGCTCATCTGGTCGGTGAGGCAGGGTTTCTGTGTCTGCATCACATTGCCCTGGGATCACCTTCCTAGTTCTCTCCTGCTCACTCATCCTCCCCCAGTTACGTGATCCCACAGAGGCCCTATTGAATTAGTGGAAACCAAAGGCTTCACACTGGAGGCCACGGGGTTCATCTGAATTTTAAATGTGTTTTATTTAGCCCACATATCACATTGCTTAAAAATTCTGATCCAGTACTTAAATACTAAGAGAGTTTCCATAGAAGTCCTGATTTCTAGATTCTTTTTTAAAAACTGTGCACACTGGTAACAGAGCTGGAAATGAGTATCTGCTGACCTCTTTATTCCAGACACATTCTTTCCAATTGGCCATAGTCTCTACCATATTTTGTTTCTGACTCTGAGACTAAGCATCTATTTGCAGTATGGAAAGTGAATAAGTTGACACTGGAATATTAGAATTCTTCTACTAGGTCCGCTCCACTCTGCCCGTTACCCTATCGAGATCAAAGTCTGCAAACTCTGCCATAACAATCTCTACCTCTGTGAAAAAATAGTTGATTGGTGCTGTCATATATTTGCCTAAGAAGAACCTCTGAAATGTTGTTTTATTCTCAGGTAACACAGTAATTTGGTGTATTGGTCTCTTTTGCATTGCTATAAAGAGATACCCGGGGCTGGGTAATTTATAAAGAAAAGAGGTTTATTTGTCTCATGATTCTGCAGACTCTACAAGAAGCATGGTGCTGTCAACTGCCTGGCCTCTGGTTAGGCCTCAAGAAGATTTTACTCATAGCAGAGGCCGGGGACCCTGTGTGCCACATAGTAAGAGAGGGAGCAAGAGAGAGAGGAGGAGGTGCCAGCCTCTTTTTAAACAACCAATTATCACCTGAACTAATACAGCCAGAACATACTTCTTATTGCAAGGACAGTACCATGCCTAAGACCAAAACACCTCCCACTAGGCCCACCTCTAGAATTGGAGATCACATTTCAACCTGAGATTCAGAGGGATAAAAATACAAACTATATTGCCTGGTGAACTTCACTAACAGAAAAGTCATTTTTCAGCAAAAGATTTTTTTTCTGAATATTTGTTTTTTGAGATGGAGTCTCACTCTGTCACCCAGGCTGGAGTGCAATGGTACGATCTCAGCTCACTGCAACCTCTGCCTCCTGGGTTCAAGTGATTCTCCTACCTTAGCCTCTCCAGTAGCTGGGATTACAGGTGCATGCCACCACACCCAACTAGTTATTGTATTTTCAGTAGAAATGATGTTTAACCATGTTGGCCGGCCAGGCTGGTCTCGAACTCCTGACCTCAAGTGATCCACCTGCCTCAGCCTCCCAAAGTGCTAGGATTACAGATGTGAGCCACAGCACCCAGCCACTCCATATGTTAATGATGCAAGATCACATCTCTAAAGAGCAAGGTTTGCCTCAGAGATGCATATTCCATCTGTTTCCCACAACCTCTAAATTTCAGAAACCTCTGTAGCGGTCCAGGAAGGGATTTAAGGATCCTCCTCACATTTATGGTTAAGAACCTGGCTCAAAGTGACACAGTTGCCAAGAGGCCAAACCAGTATTTAAACTCGGGCATTGATGCTCTAAATCACTATGCTTGGAGTTCCACAGATATTTGTTAAATGGATAAATAAATCTGTAAAATGAGGCTTCATGCTATTTCGTATGGCTATAAAGATTAAGTTAGAACACCAGAAATTTGAGAATCACCTGATTTTTTTCTTCTTATCACTTATCAGTAATCAATTTCACTTTCATGATATACCTCAGACCTCACCATTCCCCCCATCAGCACAGTGGCCACCTGAGTCCAAGCTGTTACCACCTCTCCTACTGGACTAGACCAATAGCATCTTAACTTGGCTCCACTTTTGTGCCCTCTACAGTCTGTTTTCCACATTGCAGCCATAGTGCCCTTTACTGACATCTTATAAATAAGATCTTCTCCTTCCTCTGCTAAAAAACCTTCAGTCCTTTCTTAGTGCCCTCAGGACAAATAACTGTGAGCAGCATGGACTTGGCCTGCCATTGCTGGTGTCCATGCTTGCACAACTCTGTGCTCCCTGAACCCATAGCCCCAGCCACGCTGGCCCTTCACTTCCTCCATAGCCGCCCTTTCTGTTTCGGGGACTTCCCAAATATTGCCTGGAATATTCTTACTGTTCCCCTTTCTTTGGCTTACTTAAATTGATCTTTTTCAAATTTCCTTAGAGAGATTTTTCACCATCCTTAGTTTTTTGGTTTTCCTTCATGTGACATTTCACTCTTTATAGCTGTATAATTATTTATGTCACTATTTTGTTGTCAACCTTCTGAACAGGGACGTATCTCTGTTGCTAATTATTGGTGCCCAGCATTAAGCATGTACTATGTCCATCATAAACACTTGTTCAATTGAATTGGTCTAAGATATGTGCAAGGAAACGAAGAGCAGGAAGCATAGATGTGGATAAGGGACCGCTGCACAGACTCAGATGGTTTTTCTTCAGGTAGAGATGTAGTCTTGCTAATTCTGATTTTGGCTCAAGGTTCACGAGTGCCCCAGAATGTTATGAGCTGTGATTAGAAAAGACTGTGGCATAGCAGAATTGGGTAATTTCTTGGGCTGTCCACGTGTCCTTGCAAGTGGAGGGAAGTGGGTACGTTTGAGGGAATACAGCTGAGTTCCTGTGGGATGAGATGGGAGAGGCTAAGAGTGCTAAATCAAGGCTGACTCTTGTTTCTGTGTTTTCTCACTTATTCTTCATAATTCCTTGACATAGGCAATATTATCCTCATTTTACATTTTGGGCTATATGTGCAGCATTTCCGGCAGCTTTGTTCTCCACTAGAGAATCTACAGCTAGAGAAGAGCTTACTGATCTGGACTGTCTTTTGTGTGCTCACCTCACTTCTGAGAAGTGTGTGTTCCTCCGGCTAATTACTGAGAGAACTCAACCTGCAGGGTGTAGGAGGCGGCAAAGGAGAAGAGTAGGGCTGTCTCTTCCAGTCACTTTGTAACCCATGTGAAACATTAAAGTATATTTAAAAAAATCTAAAAACTGTTATCTGAGATATAGTAAAAGTTTAAAAGGTAGTTACAAGTACCAGGTTGTACACTTGCCAGAGTAATGGTACCCTAGTCGTAGAGAAAGCGCTTGCTAAAATATGTGTCATAAAATTGCTTTTCATTTTCCTGGTACATAGAGCTGAGAGGCATTAGGTGTCTTTGAACCTTGACATTTCCTCTCTGTTCTTGTGGCACATTATAATTTATCCTGTCAGCATGCCCCAGATTATTGCTGACTGATCTTGGTTGCATGCATACAATAGATGGAGTGGAAATTTGAGGCTAAAGTCTCTTCAGAATTATGGACTCCATGACTCCTATAAGGCTCCTGGTAAGTTTCTTGATTTGTTTGAAAGTCTTTCAAAGTGAATGGGTAGACTTTGTTAAGAAAACAACATACAATGTCAAGAACAGTAGAAGACACTATTGTTTACTGTTAAAAAGAAACTAGCTTCAGCAGCAGTTAAATGAACACGTTCAGAAACAGTTATGTGACCATGAAAGATAAATACGACTACTAAGATTTAAGTTCTGTTAAACCTAAGAAAGTTAAGTTCATAACAAAATGAGTAAAACTTCTTTCAATGGTATTTATGAGTGAAACAGAAGTTTCTAGTCTATTTTTCTATGCATGTGAAATTTTCGAAATGATCATTTTTCATATGCTATAGCTCCTTAAATTGGTTTGGATATATGTGTGTACACACGCGCGAGCGCACACACACACACACACACAATATTAGTCCTCCATTTCTGTGGGTTCCACATCCATGATTCTGCCAGCTGTCGATGAAAAATATTAGGGAAAAAACAATACAAATAATACAAAAATAAAAAATAATATAAATTTTAAAATGCAGTATAACAACTATTTACATAGCATTTGCATTGTATTAAGTATCAAAAGTAATCTAGAGGTGACTTAAAGTATACAAGTGGCTGCGTCTAAATTATATGCAAATACCATGCCATTTTATACCAAGGACTTGAGCACTGAGGATTTTGGTATCTCGTGGGTCCTAGAACCAATCCCCTCCCTAATAGATACTGAGGGATAACTGTATGTATATGTATACGTACATACTTAGTAACTGACTTCTGTCCAGGCATCTTACACATATGATGACACAATCTGAATGTAAATCTTCAATAGACTTTGTTAGGCTTGCTTTCTTTGTTCATTGAGCAGAATGCAATAAGCCAATATGTATAAATAGCACCAGCATAGTCTTCACTTAGTCATCTAGGTGAAATGGGAAAAGTTCCCTATGCCCCTCTCAGGGTGTGCAACGGGGTGTGGCTCGCTTCTTCAGTGCCATGCTGCTCATACTCCTGGAGGGAGCATGCAGATGGAGGGTTGCGGGGCTCCGACTCCACAGCACTATCTAGTGGCTAATGTTTTACAGCCGAAGCCCCAGTGGGCCTGTGTTACAGTGTGCTCTTTGAGTTCTGCCGTCTGCGCGCGGCTTGTGTTAGTCAGCTCAATTAGACCTTTTGCCTTATAGCAAGGACAGAGGGCTTTCTGTATCCCGGGTTCTTGACTCTGTGTGGCTTGGAGAATGAATGCAAAGTTTTATTGACAGTGGAAACTCTCAGCAGATGATGGGGACCCAGAAGGGGCATGGAGCGGGAAGGTGGTTTTCCCCTGGAGTTGGCCGCTCAGTAGCTGGACACTCCTCTGACCGCCTCGGCCAGGCTCCAGTCCTTGTTGTTCACAGGTCAATGGCTTGCCGGCGTCTGCTGGTGCCTGTCGATGTGTTCTTCCTGTCTTCTCCACCTCCAGCCGCCTGTGTGCTCTTTTGCCAGTGTGTTCCTCTCGGCGACCCGCTGCTTGTGTTTCTGCCTGCTAGGGTCTTGGAATTTTTATAGGCACAGGGTGGGGGCGTGGCGGGACAGGGTGGTCTTGGAAAATGCAACCTTTGGGCAGGAAAACAGAAATACCTGTCCTCACCTAGGTCCCTGAGCACAGGCCTGGGGGGTGGATCCCTAGCCAGGGACCTGCCTTTCTCTACCCAGCACTTCCCTGCCCTCTCTCATATCATAGGGACATCTTTATATATTGTCTATGAATATTCAGCATGCAAATTTCTTCATGATACTTAAAAAATACTATGAAAGATAATAAAAACTAGGTGAGGGAGAAATGAAAGACATTTCATTTTTCAAAGAGATTCCTTTGCACAGTAACAGAATTGACCCCATCTTGATGTATTTTTTTCCTCACTGAATGCTTCTGTTAGTAAAGGGATTTCCAGGTTTTAAGTGATGTTCTTGGAAATCCGCAATCTTCTTGGGAAATTATAAAAACGATAATAGGCTGAAATTAAAAGTTCAAAATAGTTATGTGAGAAGGAAAATACAGGAAAACAGACGAATATGACAATCACATGTGGTTCTGAATAGTGTTATTCTCTGTCTACTTATCAAAAGGGCTTTTGTTATATTGAATAACACTTTACTCATATTCCTCCTGAATAAGTTCAGGGAAGAAGTGAACTTTTATGCAGTACCCTTTATGGTGCACTATTTTGTTTTAGAGTTGTTATGAAAACAACTCTAAAACCCAGTTGTATCTTTTGAATTTTAACCTTATTCCCACTGAACCTGTAGCTTGTCTAGGCTTTGGCTAGCTGAGAATTAGAACTGGGTGTGGCGATATGTGAGTCCAGTTGTGCTGAACATGCTGTGGAAGATAGAAAAGAAATGAGGTGTGCTTCTTGTTCTCAAGAATCTCAAGATTTGATCATGAGATAATTTGTCTCATCTTTGTGCATACATGCCCTTGAGGGTTCCTTGAAACAGGAATTAATTATTTAGTTAGTGTCCACTGGGGAAGAAAGAACTATGTTTCCATATTCCAAAAATCTCACAAATCATGAACTTATAGAATGTCAGAGCAGGAAGGGACATTATGAATCATTCTAATCTATCCCTTGAAATGCCAATTAGGACAATAATTTCTTTGAAACATTATGAAGGAAAATTTTACAATTTTTTTGAAAAGGAAATTAGCAAGTTATCTAGGGTATTAATTTATTTTATGTGAGCCATTTTGAAGCAACAAATCTGAATGGCAAGTACAGGTAGAGATTTTAATCAGAGGAACTTGAGTCTTTGCCCTTGTTTTGTTGAGTGTACAGGAGAGGAAACTAGAGACTTAATCTTAGAGTAATATGAGTGTGAATTATATCTGTACATTTTCTGGAAAATTGTAGTCCGTGAAATTTGACTAAAGGACTGGCATAATTGGTACATTAAATTAAGAAATTATAAGAGAGATTGCATTTTATGTTATATACAAATTTAGAATCATTGCGTTTTCCTGGCGCGAGAACTTTTAGCAAATCTGGGGTTGTGCTGTGCATACGATCTTATAATGTGGTGTTATTATCATTGTGCTGATAAGGAAAAGACTCAGAGAGTTTAAATAATTGTCAAGCTTACAGAACTTCTAACTGGCAGAGCCACCATTTGAAAATAAATCTGCCTGATCTCCAAAGCCAGGGCTCAGCCCACTGACTAAAGTGAGTGCATTCCTAGTGTCTAATGGACGACATCTGAAAATAGCCTTGAGTATGGCAGAAGGCTCCCTACTTGCCCAGTTTAGGGCTTCTAATTGCCCTGAAGCCCCTCAATGTTCTGAATGCCAGAGAGAAAAGATGACTTACTCACTACAGATTTGATGGTACTTTGAACTCTGATCTTCCTTCCTGATCCACCTGTTATTATTATTATTTTTAGAATCCTCAAACCCTTGTTCTAATTATGTTGCTATAGCCACACTCAATGGGAAAGACAAGATGGAGTGTGCTTACTTCATCTTACTCAGAAACAGATCTCCTTACATGAATTTAAATATATTTATAAACTGTAGAAGGAGGAAGAAATTGGGAAATGATCTGATCCAAATTTCTGCCTTTAGGTGGTAGCGTCACAAGCCTTCCGGGCCACAGGCTTCTTTCTTCCTAGAAATCTCTAGGGGAGGTGTTTTCATATTCTTCTTTCCCCTTTCCATCCAGTGTTGAACCACCCTAATGGTCAGGAAATTATGTAAATGAGGATAAAACCTGTTTTATTTATTGGTAAAGGAAATTCTCATTTAGTGACGTGTATTTCTTTCAATACTAAATTGGCACTAAATTTTGAGTGCCAATGTAATTGAGAAACCAACATTTTGAAGAAGAGAGAACATTCTGATGGTCGACCTTCCCCTGCCCCCTGCACTGTCAGATAGATGGCTCCAGCTCTTTCTCAATGTCTAGATGGCCAAGTTGATTTGGCTTGTCTTTGAAGATATTTGTAGCAATGCTCCAGTGACTTACTCTCTTAAAGAAAGTTTCCTCACCCTGTTTTCAGTACCTAGCAGGGCAAAGGTCCAGAATGTGCTTCTAAACTTTAGATTAACTATTCCAAGGCTACAGCCTTGATAAATGTGGCACTTAATTTAAAGAAAGCTGGGAAATAACATTTTTAAAGAAAGAACGCATGGACATATGGAGGCTTCTTCAATGTCCTTTCAGATACAGACTCCATTCTAGAAACTTTGCCTGTTCATTGGAGGTATCCTTACTCTAATTTTTCTGAGTGCATAATGCATTTTGTGTTTTCCTGTTTCATTACAAATGTGTCCTCTGGACACTACATTTCTACTATTGGGGAAATCCATTGGTAGACTGAACTCATTTAATTTTCAGCTACACTTACACCTCTGTATAGTTTCAGGTTCTTTCCTTCTCCTAGTTTAATAATGCTTAGCAATTCCAGGGTTAATCATGTCAGTTGAAGCTGACTTGTCAACATGAAGAGAGTGATGGGGAAACAAATAGAAATGTGATTTGGTGTGACCATATGTGGAAATAACTTTAGCTTCAAGTTATGCACTGGTTGCAGTCTAGCTTATCTCCCAGCTTTGTTCTCTTCTTTGTCCTTATTCATTTTAACATCTTTCATCTTTTTCTTTGAGGGGAGTATTATCTACTATCTATGTATATGTGGGAAGGTGCTTGTGCTTATACAGTATCTGATTATTTTAATGATCAAGGCAAAAGCATGCATGATATTCTTTAGTTGTGCAGTGTAAAAGTAAGCATAAAAAACAGTACATATCACAGAGAGGCAGTCCCTGTTGAACTGCTGCTTGTGAGCCTTTTCAAGAACAATGTGTAAAAACTGGAAATTGCCTGTCAAGTTATTTGTTCTGCTTGGACATTGCATGGAGTGATTAATATTTAAAACCTACTCTTGCTCACTTCAGTTTAATCTGAAGAGAGTGGACCTATGGAAAAATGAGGTTAAAACAAAATTTTGTTTTAGATCTCTAAGGATAAGGAAGCATTTCTTTTTTAAAGGGTGGCCAGAAAAGTCAGCCATTGATGGGTGAAAATTTATTTCTTAAGATCTTAAGCCAAATTTCATATTTGCATTTGAAAAAGCCTTCTCCTTTCTGCACAGTGAGAAAAGTGGTGGGGAAGGGAAGCTACTTGAACTGCTAAGTAATATTTAGTCACTTGGTTCATTTACCAATCTGAAAGCTAAATTGGGGGTCGAAGAGAAAACCATTATAGCTCATTGCTAGGTAGCAGACTTTTTGAAACACTGTATAATTATAGCACTCAGGCCAAAAATATTCCTCAAATGTGTCCTGAAGTATGTTGCCTCAGGTTAAGTAATCTAGTTACAGACACAGTGATTACTATGGTTTTTATGAGCAAGCCTCATACCTTGCTTAGGAACGAGTAGTTCCTTAGGAATGTGTAGATTCCTTAGGAATGTGTAGATGCTTGGTTTGGCACTTCCATGGAAGAGTGGAGAAATGTACATAATGTGAAAGCTCCTGACAAGGTAGTATCTAGTAGTCCACATCTCTTAGAAATGATACAATGTTCATTTCTGCTTAATTGCATGAGAAAGTGAGTGTCAAGTGTTGGATGTTTTGTTTCACCCAAGTTCATATGTTGAAGCCCTGCACCTCAGTGTGATGGTATTTGGAGGTGAGGCCTTTGGGAGGTAACTGGGGACAGATGAGATCATAAGGGTGGGGGCCCCATTATAGGATTAGTGCCCTTATAAGACACTGAGAGATCAGAGCTTTCTCTCTTCCTGCCATGTGAGGATGCAGCTAGAAAGTGACCATCTGCAAGCCACGAAGAGAACCCTTACCAGGAATGGAATCTGCTTGCACCTTGATCTTGAATTTCCTAACCTCTAGAACTGTGAGATACAAATTCCTGTTGCTGAAGCCACTCAGTCTATGGTATTTATTATGGCAACCTGGTCTGACTACTGCAGTGAGTACAAAGTGAAAATATAATAAAAATGTTTAAAATCACCACACCTTTGTTAGTTTCTGGCTTGATTGGAGTGTTATATATAAAGAAAGAAAATGGTAAGCTTTTAAAGCTGCTTGAATGAAATCTTAAAAATTCAGAGAAAAATAATTGATAGATGTTGAATTGTACATGATTGGGGACAACTGTTAAGCTTTTAACTTTCATATACTATATCAGAGGTGGGTCTAAAACCTCAAAGCAATGTAGCATAAATTAATTTTCAAATTTAATTTTTTTCTTCAGAGTTTTGTATAAGATTTTTTATGGCATTAGATAACTTCCAATTACTTAAGACTGTTAAAAAACTCTTATGTTATTTCAACTGAAAGTGAAAGGGGAGAATGCCATTCTAGAAATGTTGTATTTACATAAAATGATAGCAATGTATTTTACATATGTATAAAGAATGGATGGAAAGATGTATGGAATCGGAAACTGAGAAATATCCTTTAAATCAACTTTCTTTAGGAGCTTTACATTGCATTCATAATTGAAAAATTCAAGATTTTCAAGAAAAAAACTAAAACATTTCTCAAGTCAATATTGATCCCCAAACTCAGTTTCATATGCTCGAAGACATTTCCCTCCATTTTTTAAAATGGGAAATCTTAAGCTTCCAAACACTGCATCGAATTTTAATTCAGCTCAGATAACAGTGCATAGAAAACTATGAGTTCCACGTGAGTATTTTTTTTATAGGCACAGAAACAACCAATTTGAAGGACGTTTTTTCTGAAAGTTGAGTGATTCCCCAAGGATCGATCACCTGATTTAATTGAGAAATATGAGCCAGACACTGACTTCTGGTGTGTGTGTGTGTGTGTGTGTGTGTGTGTTTGTGTAATTTCCAAATATGTGGGCACCTTATGTAGATACACATAAGATTCAACTAGGCATCTTATCTTAAAAATCACTCAAAAGTAAAATAACTTTATACAAAGTTGGAATATCAATCGAAAGCATATACGCCACAACAGAAGAACTATTCCACTCCTATGTAAAGCCAAATGACCCTCCCGTGCTCCGAATTTTATTCCCTGTTTGCTGACTTGACTCCTATAATTTTAATTTCTCTGTCTTGCATCATCAACTTCTTCCTCTCTAATGAACATTTCTATTAGCTTAAAAATGGCGTATTTCCTATCTTTGAAGAAAGTTCTTCCTGTTCTTCCTCTTCAGCTACTGATTAATTTCTCTGTTCTTTGTGGAAAAGTTCCCTGAAGGAGCTACGTAAACCTATCACCTTGACCCCCTTATTTTCTTGTCTCTCTTTATCATATTCCACTTAGACTTGTGTCTTCATCACTCTAACCACATTTGTTATTGCCATCCATGGTTAATTCCAAGTTCTTAATTGATTTCTCAGAAACTTTTTGCTTTCTCCTAATTAGTATGTAAATTCTTTTTTCCCAGCTGTATTGAGACCTAATTGATAAATAAATTATATATATTTAAAGTGTACTACTTGATGTTTTGATATTCATATACATAGTGAAATGACATCTAAATCAAGCAAACAACATTTCCATTACCTTACATAATTACCATGTTCTTTCTCTCCCTTTGTTTTTCTCTTTCTTTACTTCTTTCTTTCCCGAGAACACGTAAAATCATCCCTTTTGGTAAATTTCAAGTGTGCAATAGATTATTGCCAGGTATAGTCACCTTGCTCTATATTAGATCTCAGATCTCCAGAACTTATTTATCCAGCATAACTAAAACTTAGTATCCTTCAACCAATATCTCCCCATTTCCCCTCTCCCCAAGGTCCTGGCAAGTTCCATTCTACCCTCTCTCAGAGGATTCTGACATAATTATTTTTTTCTTCTTGAAAAATTATTCAGCTGGCTTCTAGGATAAGATCCCTGAATTATCCTAGAATAAGATCTCCTGAATTCTCCCAGGATAAGATCTCCTGAATTCCTTTTATTTTCCTCACTCTCAGTCTCCTATGCTGGTCCTTTCTACTATTCCCAATCTCTAATTGATGGAATGCCTCAGAGTTTAGTCCTTCACCATTTTTTTAAACTATTCTCACTTCCTAGACAATTTCACCTACTCCATGGCTTTAAATAATATCCATATGTTTCTGGCTTCCAGATTTTTATTTACAGATCTGATTTTTCCACAGAGCTTAGATTTATATATTTGACTTGCTATTCTTCACCTCTATTTGGAGGTCAAACAGGAACATCAATCTTAATTTGCCTGAAACTAAGACCTTATATTCCCTCTCCAGACTGCTTCTCCTATAGTCTTTCCCAACTCACAATTTAGTATTTTATTTTTCTGTTGCTCAGGCAAAAAACACTGGCGACATCTTGACTGTTCCTCATTTCCCAAATATTTTCAAGACCTGTTGACTCCATTTTCAAAATATATCCTGACTCCAACCTGTTTCAGTCATTTATTGTATGACACTAACCTAAGTCATTCAGGTATTTATCTATAATTTGTTCTTTTTCCCAAAATATTTTATTTTTTAAAGCAGTTTTAGATTAACAGAAAAATTGACCAGAAACTATAGGAATTTCCCATATATTTTGTTCTTTTTCCATCTTTTCCATTTAGTTTAGGTCTTTGATACTTCTGAAATTTATTTTTGCACATGGTGTGAGGTTGAATTTTAATTTTTTTTCCTTTGTCTTTTATATTTAGCAAGTTTTCAGTTGCCTTCAATCTGCCACCAAGGCACTCATCTATAACCAGTTTTTCAATGGTATTTTAGTGCTCTTGTTACGTGATGATACTGCAAACATTGGGAATCCAGTCACAGAGCTAGCAGCTGGCTTGTCTCAGTTTCTGGTTGTGAGGCTGTGTCTTTGTTACCCTGTCGCCTGAGGCATGAGTGAGCATGAGTCTTGTCCCCTATCTTATGCAAAACCCTTTTAGTCCTCATTGATCCCTAGGAATGCAATCCCCATGACTACTATTGACAGGAGGCCATGAAACCTGGACATGAGGTCCACTATTTTTGTTCTGTATCTGATCTGCTGAAATGGCCAATTTTGTCTCCTTCTTTTTATCTGTTTATATTTTATCTGTTCTTGTTGCTTGTTTCAACTAGAAAAGTTGGGTGAAGTCAGGAACTCAGAGCTGTCTAGATTGAAAGTCAAAGATGATCCTTTGGCAATGTCCTTTGACAACAATGCTTTAATCTAAACAATTAGTTTCAAAGATGATGTTTCCAGTTCCTAAGGTAGGCTGATAATGTATTGTGAGCCAGAAATAAGCTTACATGTCTTCTTATAGCATGTAGACAGCATCTCTCCAATCTCATCAAGAGCACTTGAGAGTACTTGGCTGATTTGAGAGAGAGAAACAAGGTAACATTTTCTTCTACAACTAGTGTTTTCATATATGTCCTTGAAAATGTTCTTAATGATATAAAAATGACCTCAGGATAAATGACTTTGGATTGAGTTTCAGTGCATTATTTCTGTGGCACAATAGCAGTGGCAGGGTTTTAATCCCTAAAAATTTTATTTCTAAAATATCAGTTAAAATGCATGGAACAGCAGCTCTTTGTGGTAGATGTTTTCAAATGTTATATATTTTTATCCTCCTTTTATAGGGGAATTTCAAAGAATTATGTTACTTTCTCAGTTGGAGTAGTCTGGATTTGACCTACAGATTTCCCTTTATTTCATCTTATTGTATTTTCATAGATGAGAATGAGAAGCAGTGGGCTCTACAACAAAGGTTCCCTAATTAGGCTGATAGTAATTTATTTTCCATTTGAGTTAGTGCTCACTTATAAATCTTGGCTGTTAACATTCCAATGTTTTCATTCATTCATTCATATGAATGAATAGTGCTGAGTGTCTGCACTATACTAGACATGGGGCTACAAGGTCAACTAAAACATGGTCATTTACAGTAAATAAGACAATCATTCTTCCCTTTGAACATGGCTAATAAGAGTGCAATGTTTTATATTTGGCAGTAAAATGTATACATGTTTTCATCCTTGGACCATTTACAGGATATATTTACCTGCTATTTTATATATAATTGGCTAATGGCTTAGTGAACAGATAAAAACCCTTTAAGGCATATACTTTCCACTGGACATCATTTTCAAGAAAACAGAAAACAACTTTTTAGGTGACATGGAAGGTCTCTATTAAGAATATTTTTGTAATCTTGTCAGAACAAAATTCTGCACTTGCAAATAAGATGCTACAACCAGCATCCAAAATGCTCTATAGCCATATATAATATATATAAATATATATTATATATAAATGTAAATATATATTATATATAAAATACATAAATTATATATAAAATATATAAATTATATATAAACATATTAAAATAATATATACATATATGTATGTATATGATGCATCCCAAATACTAAAACAAATAGCATGGCTCCTGTGCATACAAATTCATAATTTTCCCCTATCTACTTGTGAGTGCCTTTGAGGTACAGAGTATGCCTTACTTGTCTTTTTTTTTTTTTTTAAACTGGGACCTTGGCACCTGGTTGATACTCAAAACATATGTATAGACTTTTTTGAATGGATATTTAATGTCGTTGGTTGAATGGATTAACTAGAAGGAAGATGGGTGAATAAATTGATGTCTGTATTCATATACAACCCTCTGTAAGATATCTAACACTTCACTGTGTGTCTTTAGGGCGGGGGATGGGAGGGCGGGGAAAAACAACCCTGACAGTTTCTTTGGGGCATGTACTTTATATCTGGCTTCTTTTATCCTCAGGTTGTGGAAGTGTGGAGCCACAGATAAATGCTAACTTCCTCTTTTGTATCTGGCTGCCAGGCAATTTCTATTACAATTTGAAAGGATCTTCCAAAGTTCATATTTTTCTGGATTTATCTGCTTAACTCATTGCTTAGATAGATAGGTTGTCAACTAGAGCTTGAAGCTATTTTCTTGGACATACCACTGCAGTGGTACTTGCTGCAACATGAACTATGTGCTATAGAGTGAGTTTTTCTTAAATTGTTGGATGAATATATATGATAAAGAGTTGTGTAACTTTCCACCTATGATGAATTTTTTCATTATATTTCTACATATCAAACCTCAAAATAATCTGAAAAGAAACTGGTTTCATATTAAGTTTCAGATATGAAAATGAAACTCAGAGAGGTGAGGTGATGTGTTTACTGTCATTTATTTCACCATTCATGCCAGACACTCTCCTGGGTGGGAAGGATTCAGTAATAACAGAGAAAATCATTGCCTTCAAGGAGTTTATAATTTTGGGGGGCAGAAAGGACAAGTAAAAAAGTGATTATACTACAATAATGAAAACTATATTTAATGGATAAACAGAGTACCTTGAAAACACATAGGATGTACATTTCTATAAACTGATGGAAGTCAGTGGAACTTGAACCAAATTTATGGTTTCAAGTCCAGAGCTTTATCTACTGTAACAAGCCTTTTTCTCTTTTATCTCTGATTTTTTCTTACACATGTTGGAAGCTGGTTAACAAAAATTAGTATGTGAGAAATTCAACTTCAAATGAAGAGAAGAGCTGGGTCTTCACAATGCTCAACTTTTGGTATTAGAGACTTCTAGAGAGGCTTGCAGAATGGAATGCAAGAATTGGTTAAGAGTGGGACCTTTTAGCAGCAATACTAACAATTGATTTCCAACTCCAGGCTTCTGCTATCCCAAGCACTTGCTTAGGAAAACCTATCCAATCTTTCAACACACATACTAAATAGACACAAAGATTTCATGAATAAGAAAAGGGTGAGGTGCATACTTATAGCTCCTTAAATGTTGATAGCTGATTCTGATGATTCTTCCTATTTCTTAAGTCACATCAACTCCTTATTAAACTAGGAAGACTTTTGATTTCCAGGATTTGTTGAATGGAAATAAAAAGTGAACGTACTGTGGAGTTTTTGGTAATGAGATTCAAAAATAGAATTTTAACTGGGGATTAATATTAGAATATTCCTGCATAATATTTGACCTTTGTGGCTTGGAGCACCAGAGCTTCTTTCTCGTGCAGATTTCCTTTTCTAATATCCTGAAGCTATTTCCTTTGTATTTCATAGTTCCCCCACTGTTTAGCTGTTTTCTCCATATACTCCCTCAAATGTGTATTCTTTCATTATCACTTAGCAAACCAGAATCAAAGTCAATTGCTGGGTAGCTTAAATTCCAGTGATCAGTTTTCTGATTTCCTGACCTCCAGACTTTCTCGGTTTCCTCTATGTCTTCCCTTTGTTTTCTGGAGTAGCTAATACTTTCTTCATAGATAAATATTCCCAGCTCCACTCATTTTATCTTCTACCTAATTCTCCGTATGCAGCTGTTGCAGTGATTTCTTCTCTTTCTATGATCTTCCCTTAAGTCATGCTCAAGTTTTTGTCATGTCTTAAGAATATGAACTGTTACCAAAATTGACAAATACTATAAAAGATTTTCAACTTTAATTAAATATTTATTACTTTACTTCTGAGCCTGTGGATTATTTTTATATAATATAAAGTTACCTGATGTCATCCTTATCAAAGCTAAAATTTCACCATCAGTTTGTCAAAAGCAACATGACATGCAACAATTACTTGGTTTTTAGGGACAATTGCTTAAAACTGAGGCTATTTATTTAGTATTATATGTATTTTTTATAACTTTATTGATGTATAAGTTACATACTGCAAGACACATGTGTTAAGAATAAAGTCAATGAGTTTTGGCATATATGTAAAGCCATTCAACTATCAAAATAGTCAAAGTTTAGAACATCTTCATCACCCCCAGAGAGCAGACTCATATCCCTTCACAGTCAAACATCATATTCTGAACCTCTGGTCAACTCTTTTTGCCATAGTTTTATTTTTTTCTAAAATATCATATAATTGGGATCATACAGTATGTGTCCCGTTGGCTTCTTTCAGTTAGCATAATACTTTTCAGGCTTAATCGTGTATAGCAGTACTTTTCTCTTTATTGCTTATTTATATTTCCTTGTTCGGCTTTTTCACATTGTGTTTATCCACTCACCAGTTGATGAACATTTGGATTGTTTCATTCTTTACCTATTAGGAATAAGGCTGCTATAAATATTTGTGTAAAGGTCTTTGTGTGGATAAATGCTTTAATTTTTCTTGGGCAAATACCTATGGGTGGAATTGCTGGTTCATACAGTAGATTTACATTTAACTTTGAAGAAACTGCCAAACTGATTTCCAAAATGGCCATAAAATTATTCATTCCCACCAGCAATTTATAAGAGTTTCTGTTGCTTCACCTTGTCAACACTTGATATTGTCAGTCGACATAATTTTAGCTATTTAGCTATATGTGCAATGGTAGCTTATTGTGATTTTAAGTGGCATTTCCTTTATAACCAGTGATGTTGAGCATCTTTTTACTGGCTTTTTGGCCATTCATGTCTCCCTCTTTTTCTCTCTCTCCCTGTCTTAGTCTCTCTCTCTCTCTCTGAATCTCTCTCTCTCTCTCTCTGAGTCAGTCTCTCTCTCTCTCTCTGAGTCTCTCTCTCTCTGTCTGTGAGGTATCCATTCAAATCATTTGCCCATTTTATTGAATTGCTTCCTTATTATTAAGTGTTCTTTCTATGTTCTGGATACATTTTGTCAGATATGTTTTGTAAATATTTTCTACCAATCTGTATCTTTCTTAACAGTGCCTTTAGGTGAACAAAAGTTTTGATGAAGTCCACTTGATATATTTTTTTCTTTTATTGTTCAGGCTTTTTTATTTTATCCAAAATGTGTTTGCCTGTCTCAGGATAATAAAAACTATCTTTTATGTCTGCCTTTAGAAGTGTCACAGTTTTAATTGTTACATATGTGTCTCTTTCTCAATGTCTATTGAGATTACCATACTGGTTTTTCATTTTATTTTGTTAATATTGTCTATTACATTAATTGATTTACAGATATAACTAATTTCATTTACTGGCCTTGCTTATAGAGGTCTATTTTTAAATTTCTTCTCCAGACAGTTTTGGTAATTTTGTGCCTTTTAAGAAATTAAGAAAATAAACTTTTTGGTATAATTTGTTCATAGTTTTCCCTTTTCATTCTGTTGATGTCTGTAAGATCTGCTATGAAGATCCCTCTTTCATTCTTGATACTGATAATTTATGTCTTCTCCCATGTAAGGAGGAGCAATCTATAGGTGTCAATTATGTCAAATTAGTTGACAGTGTTGTTCAAGTCTTCTATATCCTTACTGATATTTCTTTTTCTCTCAACTTTATTGAAGTATAATTGACAAATTGAAATTGTATATATTCAAGCTGCGTACAATGTGATGATTTGAAGCATGTGTACACTGTGAAATAATTATCACAATCAAATTAATACATTCATCATAAATATTTATATCTTTTTTTGTATGTGTTGTGGTGAGGATACTTAAGGTCGACACTTTTAACAAATTTCAAATAAACAATACAGTTGATTATTAACAGTAATTATTAACTATAGTCACCATGGTGTACATTATATCTGTTGATCTTTGGTATATTTAAAAATTTTTTACTGAGAAGTATTAAAGTCTTTAAGTATAATTGCTGATTTATTTTTTCAATTTTGTCAGTTTTTACTTTATGTGTTAAATGCTTATGAATTTAAAGTTGTTATATCTTACTGCTGTTTGTTGTAGACAGCATATACTGGATATTGCTTTTTAATTCAATATCCAGTGTATCTGATACTGCTTTTTTGTTTTACTACTTCTATTTTTTGCCCTCTTTTTGCTTCAGACAAATACTTTTAGTGTATAATTTTAAAGTTCTGTTGTCTTTTTAGCTATATTTTCTTGCATTTTTCAGTAATTACCCTAGGGATCATGACATTTATCTATAACGAACTATTTCGAGTTACTACTGACTTTCTTCTGGTAAAATACAGAAGCTTTCAGATCTGTCAATCTAACATTGAAATCTTGATTCTTGATGAAAAATTTCGGAAAAATCTAACAAGCCTGAAAACAGTTTGAAAAAATGATACCCTAGAAGAAACAATAATTTTACAGCATAGAAGTCTTAAAAAGAGTTTTAGCTTTCTTTACAGTTATGAAAACGTCTTCTCAGTAATTATACACACACACATACACACACACATATGTGGAAATAGGGGCAATATTGACCCATACATTTAATTGATTTATTTTAGAACAATCTTGCGAATCATTTTAGCAAAGGGTAGCAGTGCAAAGCATTGTTTTAGTGTTGTAAAGAATAAAAATAGTAAAAAAACACATTATTAGTCCTTACAAAATTTTCTGTATAAAATAATTATTCAGGAAAAAATGTGGTAGGTATAAAAAAGGGAGTACAAATAAAGTATATTGGGTACTCAGCAGATATAGGAAGAATTTGAGATATAGGTAAGGATTTCATTAAAGCGATGGCTTTTGAATACAGCTAGGCCATGATGGGTGGATAAAAGTTTGATGGGTGAAGATGGAGGCGATTGACTTGCCAGCCAGATAAAACAACACGAGAAAAGCCAGAGAGGAAGAAAAAAACAGATAACACTGTGTAGAGAAGCTTGCTTCAATAAATATTTGTTAAGTGAATAAAATTTTAATGTACTATTTATAAAGCAAGTGTTAATAAGGCAAATATTTTAAATGGATTTGTAGTTAAACTGTTAAGCCTGAAAGAAGTTTGAAAAAAATAATACCCTAGAAGAAATAAACATGTTCCTCAGCATGGAAGTTTTAAGGAATTTGGTAGTTTGCTTTATGGTTAGAAACATGTCTTTTCAGTAATTACATGGTGACTAATTTTATTTTAAAGCTAAACACTTCATTTGAAATGTATTTGATTCTGCAGATTGAGTATAGACTAAGAAGCTTTGGATAGAAAGCTAAGTATGAGTTATAACAGTAAGCAAATAATGAAATCTACTTGGAGTTCTTTCCTTTTACTTAAACAAGTAATCAGCCTCTATGATTTTAGTGACATTCACTCCTCTTTCTTCTTTCCTTTCAAAGGCATTTACTTAAACCAGACTTTTCCCTCATCTCTCTCGATCACTTTGGAGACTCAAGCTAACATACTAACTCTTGCTTTCACACACACTTTCTGTTTCTTCTTCCTGTAGTTAATAACATCGGATGGAGTGTGTTGTAATAAATACAATTGAGGGCCAGGAGCAATGGCTCACTCCTGTAATCCCAGCACTTTAGGAGGCCAAGGCGGGCGATCACCTGAGGTCAGGAGTTCAAGACCAGCCTGGCCAACATGATAAAACCCTGTCTCTACTAAAAATAAAAAATTAGCTGGATGTGGTGGTAGGTGCCTGTAATCACAGCTACTGGGAGGCTGAGGCAGGACAATCACTTGAACCCGAGAGGCGGAGGTTGCAGTGAGCTGAGATCATGCAATTGTACTCTAGCCTGGGCAACAAGAGCGAAACTTGGTCTCAAAAAAAAAAAAATTAAAATACATACATACATGCATACAATGGAAGGAATCTCAAATCACTGCCTGCTCTTGTAGCTCCTTGCCTGTCTGAAGGAACTCCCTGATCCACTCCTCCTTACTTGCCTCATAACTGCTTTATATCTTTCAAGGTTGAGTTTTGTTTATCTTCTTGGAAAGCTTTTCTTGACATCCCACCTCAATCAGAATTAGATGTCCCTACTTTGTGCCTTTTATTATAGTGCTTATATGGAAAACATCGAATTATGTATTTGGTTTCCACTATTAAATTGTGAGAAACTCGAGGGCAGAAATTTTGTTTTACTTGTCTCTGCATAACTTGTTCTTGGATCTTATAGGTGCTTAATACAATTTAGTTAAAATAATAAAACATATTAAAATTATTGCATTGATAATTTTCTTTCTTGTCTTTTATGTTATTCTTCCTTTCAGTCTCAGTGGCACACATTATAATGCTGTATCTGTTTCTGGGAACTGAGGTTCTGTATGTATTTCACAACCCTGTGCTTGTGCCTTTATATATCAGCCCATGATGACCTTGTCCTACATCTCCAAAGACCTAAAGCTAAACATCCTTCTAGCTCAAGTGCAGAGGATTTCTTTATCAGAAATACTTCTCTGAGATCCCCAACAGAGTAGTCTTCCTATTTTGAATTTCCATGACGATTTTTCTATACGACTTTCATAGTATCTTCTATTTCCTGGATCCTTTGCAGAGACAGAATTTATATTTCATATACTTTGTATTCCCAAAGAGATATGAGGTGCCCTTGCAATGGACACATACTCAAGATGCATTCAGTGACCTTTTATTGAGCATTGACTATTTGTCAGGTACTGTGTTCACTGCAAGCTATTCAATAAATATCTACTCAACAAATGGTTCACTCATCAGTTGCTTTGGAGGAAAACTTCAGAGTAGCATGATGTGGATGAAAATGTATTCGGAGGCAGAAAAATAAAAGGAAATGAGTCATAAATATATCTTCTGGTAAATTACAGAATTTCACAAAACCATTTGTAACCTTGCTTTGTTTATGAAAATCTCCACAAAAACCTAGCAAGCAGTTAGATTCTAAAAGCAGTTTGAAAAAATGATACCCTAGAAGAAATAAATGTTTTCCTCAGCATGGAAGGAGTTTTAAAGGGTTTTGTAGTTTGCTCTATAGTTATAAACATGTCTTTTCAGTAATTACACAGTGACTAACTTTGTATTAAAGCTAAATACTTAACTTGAAGTGTATTTGGTTCTTCAGATTAAGTATAGTCTAGGAAGCTTTGAATGGAAAGCTAAGTATGAGTTATAACAATAAAAAATGAAATCTAGTTGGAGTTCTTTCCTTTTATTTAAACATATAATCAGCCTGTATGGTTTTAGTCACATTCACTCCTTTTTCTTATTTCCTTTCAAAAGCATTTACTTAAATCAGACTTTTCCCTCATCTCTCCCTTGGTCACCTTGGAGACTCAAGCAAACACACTAACTCTTACTTTCATAAACTCCTTCTCGTTCTTACTCCTGGCAAAGTAGAATGCATTTGACCAACTCAACATGGCACATCCATATGGGCTCTGTTTCCACAGCAAAGGGCTTTCATGTTAACTTTCACCAGGATATCTGAAGTTCTACTCACCCTGCAGGGTGAGTAGATAGGGCATCTGAGGACAATCTACTTACAGGCTGAACAAGCAAGGCTCTAGAGAAAAATGATCATTTGGGGGTCAATTTACTTAGGTATACCAATAATGATGCTCTTATCAATAGTTGTTGAAGGAATGGTGATATACTGGCTGACACAAGTCTTTACTTACTGACTTTATCCTCGTTTTCAAGGAGAGACTATAAAAGAACTTTCTGTACAGTATAATGCTTCTCTAGGTACGGTGAATAGACACTTTACTGTTTTCCTATTTACTTGTCTAATATTTAGCTAATGTGTGCTTCTTCTGTTTTCTCCTCTGAGGCTTCTTTCTTCTGACAGTCCCCTCAAAAATGAAAGAAATTTCCTATATCAAGTATCTACTGTTTTCCTTTTGGCTGATTGCTGGTTTTCTCTACTTGGAAGCTAATTTTTAAGAGGCAGGGAGCATGGGTGAAATGTTGTCTGAGCTCTTCAATGTTGACAAAATAGGGGTGCCAGCACCTTGTTGATAGTTTTATCTCATATACATCTGAAAACCTCCATTTTCAGATAAGTGAACTACAAAGTAAAATAACTGCTTCAGTGCTGCATGAGGAGGCCACCTGATGCAAACGGAAAACTTCACAGAGAATGTAAGTCCAGGACAGGGGGCTTGTGCAGAGAAAGTGTTCAGTGAATGTTTGCTGAATAAATGAATAAATAATGAGGGAACGAGAGCTAACACTGCTGAATACACACGATGGCCATTCATATTTTATAACAGAATCCAGGACTGTAAATATCATTAACATCTGGCAGACTGTATCCTGATTAGGTTAATACGGTCTCAGCCACAGTGGTTTGGAGAAATAACTTGTTCTAAACATGTGGCCAACTGGGAATATGATTCTCAGTAAAAAGCTAGTCTGTGACTTTGGATCTCCTTTAAAATTTTCTTTAAAAATGATTCTATTTTGTTTATTATTGTAAACATCTCTTATTTTTTTCACAAGCAGATGAGAAATATAATTAATTACATGATGTAAAGGCAGAATATGTAAAGAAACGCTGCCTTCTGAGGTTGGCCCCAGAGGTGAAGCCTGTGGTAGGGATGTGAGCTTCACACAAAGCTCTCGCCACCCCCTTGGGAGTTGTTTGCTATCCCCATTACAGGTTCCAGGTGTGCAGCTTGTTCTTTAACCTGCTGGTCCAAGTTTTATTCTTGTTTTACTGTAGTTTAACTGAGGTTGAGTGCTTTTCTATATTGATTCCAAAAAATCAGGAATAAAAAGGAAAAAAATCATAGGAAATATAAGAAATGTGGATAATCCAGAAGATTTGCATCTTGCTCTTCACATCACATATTGGCAAACTTTTTCTATAAAGGGGCAGGTAGTAAGTATTTCAGACTTGTGGACCATATTGTCTCTTTTGCAACTGCTCAACTTTGTAGTGGTAGTGTGAAAGCAGCCATAGACAATATTCAGATAAGGGGCTGAATTCCAGTAAAGCTTTAGAAAGACAGGCAGAGCCAAATTTGGCTTGCAGGCCAATAGTTTGCCCACCCCTGCTCTAGATTGCCAGACCTAATCTATTCCCTCAGGCAAAATATATTCATGACAAGTTCCTTCCCTTACTAACTCCATCATCTGAGCATGCCCCTTTGGACACTTGCCTCTCTCAACCTCCAGACGGATGAGGGAGGTTAAGGATGATGATACCTTGAACTTTTTTTTTGGTCTGAGGTCCTACCTCTTCCCTCTCTTTGTAAAGTCCAAAATATTATAATATGGTCAGTTATAATGCAAGAATTATAGCATCATCATAAGATGCAAACTCATCTAATTACTAACCAGAGACTCATTTCCTTATGAAATTTTCAGAAACATAATACAATTATTCTTCTTACTATTGGATCTGTTGTTTATTCACAGTAGAGAAGGCACATAGGGGCCTATGTTTGCTTTGTGTTTCTCAGTGAATCCTGCATAATGCAGAAACAGTTTCCTGCTCAGTTCAAAGGCATGTATTGGTACAAAGTCCTGAAAGGAGCTCAATGAAGGATGGGAGAATGGAGTTAGCTATATCACCTCCACATATATTCTACCTACATTCCCACATGAGCTGTTATTGGGACTTTTGTACAAAAAATTACCCCTAAAAAGATCTCTCCTTCAGCAGAATGAATCACAAAGCCCATTTTGCCTCTGCTGTCATTACAACTGAAGAGTCTGGGTCAATTTGGATGAGGTCCTTTTTATTCCTCCCTGTGTTTTTTTGAAGTTCAGAGTGTAACTGGACCATGGTGATGCTCAGATAACTTGTAGGATAGTTCATGCAGCTGGTACATGTATGCTGATCTTATTCCAGACAGGCAATCATTAGGTTAGCTCATAAGATCATGATGCTCTTCATCAATGGCATGACCTAACAGTGCAGCCTTTGATCTGCACTCCCAACATTGTCTGTTGGATCTGTACATCATACATTATCTTTTAAATATGCATGTCTGATGTTCCCTATGTCCCATTGGGAAATCTCCTTCATTGTCATTTTTGGGGGCACTTCCTCACTCTGCCACTATACAGTGCTCCAGGCTCATCTTTTATATTTACTGCCCCAATCCTAGAAGTGACCATTTCTACAAAGATCAATGGTTTCTTTCATTGGATAATGTGGCTGTATTTCAGAAGCTCTGGATGCAAGGTGTGACAAATATCATTTTTCATGTAAGATTACAAGAAGGTGGACTCTCTTTTAAGATCTTCTGTTGAGCAGTGTCTTTTCAACACCTTTCTTCAGGATCCTGGGGTGGTGGGAGGAAGGTGTGCATTCACAAATTTTAAGGAGTTTCTCAGGAGGCACCATCATTGTTGAGACAGGGCCCTTGCCAATGGAACATTTCTCACAGCTGCTTATGAATAAAAACAAAGGAAGGACTGTAAGCTTGAATTCTCTGCAAGCTGCTTCTACCACTGGCCTCAGCATTTAGCATGGTCACAGGTGTGACAGTAGGTGGCGAGAGCTGCTTTACGAGACGACTTAGACTTGGAGTCTTTAAATTGAGGTGCTAAGTGAGCCTGCATTTTATATACCTAATACTTATTTTGAGCTTTCTGTAACCCAGAAAGGATAGAACTTATGATTGGATTCAACCTCCTGATTTGGTGGTTACTATGGTGATTAGGGTGGGGCCACAGGAATGAAAGGAATGATGAGTATAATATTATGAAGAAGACTTGGTGACTTATTACATACAGGATAAATGGGAAAAGGAAGAATAAAAAAACAGAAGAGTTTTCTGGTTAAAAGTGGTTAGTGATACTGTAATAAAAATAGGGACATTGGATATTGATGCAGGTGCCTACCAGAAGGTTGGAAATGTGCATCAGAAACTCAGAAAAGAAAATCTGGGTGAATGGATTCAGGAGCTATTTTCACAGACATCGTAATGAATTATTTTCTTCCATGGGTCTGACACGTGCCTTGAAAATTGTAGTATGTGTGCTGTGAATACTAATATATGGATGCAGTTTTCTTCAAAAAGGGATAATGGGTTGAATATGAAGTTACCTCTAAAGAATCAAACTCAATTTATTCACTCATGTTCTTTTAGGATATATGAATGTTAAAATCAAGATCTAAATAGCAACAACAACAAAAAAGACTAGTTCGATAAACTGCCAGACTACAAAGTTATGAGCATGTGCTCTATGCTAATATGAGAATTGCTGTGATTATAGGAACTCTTAGTAAATTGCATGTTTTAAAAAATATAAATTTCTATTCGTTGAGAAATGTGAAAGTTATTTTAAGGTTATATTTGTATTACATTTATAAACTATTTTCCTTGAAAGATATAATTCTTATTTTGGGTTACATTTTCATTTTATTTAAGAGATAGCAGTAGTTAACACTTTATAACCGCAACCATCAGTGTTTCTGGTAAGAGGAATGAATTAAGGGCTGTAGTTACATCTATGCTGATTGTTCATGTAAGTTACACTCACTATGAACTGTGGAGAACCAGTAAAGTCTTTTCTGTACCATATGTTTGAAATGTTGGAGGGCAATTTTGATATCAGTACACAAAGGGAGATAACTGAAAAGTGAAGTTAGGAATTTTACTTCTTTAAATGATATTAACAATTAGGTCCTATGTTCATGGGAAGGAGGTTTCAAGATGACTTTTATTTTTCTGGAAGGCATCCCTGAACAGGACCAGGAATGTGGTTTAATTAAGACTATTGAACCCACAATACAGAGAAACTAATTGATCTCTATTCTTTTTGTGCCCATAATCACGGTCTCTGTCATGTCACTTTCTGCCTATTGATGATGGCACAGAGATGTGAAAAATATTTGACTGCTGCTTCCTTCTGCTGGACATATGGTAGACATAGTCAAATGCTCATTGGGACTCTGATGGTCCCTGTTGTGGATTCAGAATTCTCTACACAGTGATCTAAATGACTGTAATTGAAATATACAGTATAACCTATATCTCTCTTGTGCAAGAAGAAACAGAAACCTGTAGGAATATTGACTATTTTTACTCTGTAGATTTGGAAACTTCCAGTTAGACATCAAAGACAGGAATGTTGAGGAAACCGGAGGGTTCTCAGTGCAAACATTTGCTGATTGCACTTTGATTCAATTACTGTAATTTATCTTTGTGCTATCGAGTATTCCTCTTTAAATATCAGCACGTTAGAATTGATAGTTTAATGGGTTTTTGGAAAAAATCTTGTTAATCAACTTTGTATCATTGCCATTTTTGGAAGAGTCCTATTCACATCAGCTTTTGTCATGCTGCCTTCTGGTGCAATGAGTTGGCCTTAAATACGACCATATCTTCAACCCAGGACAATATCAGCCAGAATTTCTCAGTACATTAATTACAGTTTGCACATCAATAAAATAGTAAACTGTAAGAAAAGTAGGGAAGAAAACATAGTAACTTGGTGGTGTTCCCCACTGTATAGACTCAACACTCTTTCTTCCCCACTTCAAACCAAGGATGGACTCTGGCTTTGACTGGGACAGACCTGAGGCACAGTGCCAAAGGGATCTAGGAGATTCTGTCTTTCCAAATGTGAATCAGTGTAAATCTGTGGTCAGATGACCTGGGCTTCAGCTCTAGTCTTGGTCTTATCATTAACAAGCTTTTACATGCCTCAATTCCATTATCTATAAAATAAAAGTTATATAAATTATTATCTAGAATAGGTTATTCTACTTCTGAGTTCCTCTTGCCTTTTTTTTTTTTATACTATTTTCTTTTGGATGGTCCCTAAGCTCTGAAGTGCAGAAAACTCCCCAGGCCTGAAATTGAGGGATGACGTGAAGCCTTTCCCTGACCTTCCTTCTTATTCCATACAACATAACGGACATGTCATGTTTCTTTTTCCACCTTAAAGCCGTGGGAAAGATAAATGTCAATAAATAGAGAAAAGACAAACATGAAAGAGCAAATTTCCAAAAACTGAGAAATGAACATGAACAAAACATTTATAGAAGAATAAGTATATGTGAGCATACATGTGGGATTGTGTCAAAGCTCACTAGCCATCAAGGTAATACCAATTTATCACCAATATCATTGATAAACACCAAAGTAACATGTATTTTTAAAAATGATAGTAATACTTACTGCTTCCAGGGTAAAAATTGTTAGAATCTTTATGAAAAATAATTTAGCAACATGTACCAAGAACCCCTTGAACCCATTGTTTTCCCTTTTAGGATTTATTCAAAGAATCTATTTAGAAAGTTGAATAAATATTTCTGTAAAAATGTGTTATTAGTAAAAGTGGAAAACTGGAAGCAACATAAAGATGAAACAACAGAGAGTTAAATAGATTATGGCACATCAATGGAATGCCATATGATATGGTCATTTACCATGAGCTGTTAAAGAATAATAAATATTAACTTACAAAATAATTATGTAGTATTTACCAGAAGCATATCGTCATTTCAGTTATGTAAGAGTATGTGTGTGTGTGTGTGTGTGTGTGTGCATGCATATGTGCATGTATGTGTACATGGAAGACAACACATAAACATCAATCACTGTTAAGGAATTAAAAGTTCTCTCCTGAAAACTATAATATTTATATTATAAATAGTTTATAAATTAATATTTATAATTTCTAAGTACAATTTTTATTTTTAAATTGGTAATACATCAAATTATGACGTGCTAAAGAATTTCAGTAAACATATTTTGTCAGATGTTTTTCTAATTTCAAACCATACTAGCACAAAGTGCAGTTTGTTACTACCAGTGATGAATTAAGGAAGATATTAAGAGAAGGGAGGAAATTTAAAAAGGAAATAAAAATTTATATTTCTGCCTGGCAAAAAAAGAGAAAAGATCACAAAAAGATGCTCTTCGTATTTTCCACTCTGGTTTTCTCTCTGGGAGTGAATCATTTTGCCAGCAACATTCAACTGTCAATTGGGATGTCTTTTAGTTGTTAAAGTAGCATACAGTGTGCCTGGCATAATCATTTAGAAGGTTTAATATTCTCTCACATAGTTTCTTTGGAGGAACATAAATATTACTTTAAGCTTGTCGACTTTCCCTTAATTTCTAATATAAATATTTAGTATTAATACTTTTCAGTCAAAACTACCCTAATATTGGAAAATGTCATAACTAGTTAAATTCTTAAAAGCAAATGTTTGTTACTTTGTATTGATTTCTAATTGAGCTTGCATTTGAAACATAGATGTCTTTAACGACATGCTCCCATTACAAGTCAACTGGATGTCTTCACCCCATACCATTTTCAATTGTATGGAGTTGCTTATTCTGGGTTTACAGTGACTAATTTTAACTCCAGACCAAATAAAACAAAGAACACTGTAGATCTAAACTATAGTAACCCAATCTTGAAATTATTAAAAATACATGAACCAGATGGCAACCCTCCAGGGGTACATTATCTGCCACAGATATCAGATTAGAAATTTCCTTTCATAAGCAGATTGTTTAATAACACGCATTTTCTAGATCTCCAAAAAAACCCCTGCATTTCAGCAAAATTGACTCAAGGCCAATTACGAAGGGGCCTGACCCAAACCATAGGAAATTAAAAATGGATTAGCCAATCTGTAACAAACAGAAGGTTCATTAAATTAATATTAGTATAAAAACTATACACAATACCATCCATGAAATATGTATTGCCTTATGAAGACATCATTTTACCTCATTGTCGTTTTAATAACAATGTGTTTTGAACAGTTGATGCATATTGGATGTGAATGTTCTAGCCTAATAAGAAACTTATGAAGGAACCCAGGTGCTGCAATAAATCCATAAGGTAGCTAGAGGATATTTCAAGACTTTTGGGCTCTCTTTAAGCAAATGAAGTTTTCTCTTCCCCGTTTGCTAGTGAATAAAACAAGATTACATGCTGAGCCTCTTGCAAAATTCAAACAGGGAGTGGCATGAAATTTTGCCTTCTGATTGAATTCTTTTTCAGACACACCAGATTACCTCAACTAGATCTCAAGTTCCTCTTTGTGAGTGAGCAGCAGTGATGTAAGTCAGCCCTGGATTCCATCTGAGGATTATTTGTTCTACCAGTGATTGTTAGTTTGCTTCCTTTTGTGGATCTGTAGTTATTCAATAGGTTTCTGTTTGCTGTGATATAAAGGACTATAACATAAAGCTACTCATTCTGTCTGTTTGTGCAACTCAAACACAATGGGAACATGCAACCTCTCTTACTCTGCTGAAATATTTTTAAAAAATCAATTTGTACTATATCAACAATGTGAAGTTCATATATATTTAAAAGAAAGCAAAGCTTGTTCAAATTTCTCCTATTTTTAAAATAGGCTATGAAATATATCTTTTCTCTTGGTAATTGAGTAATTGTTTCTTTAATATTTTATGTAATGAATGTTTATTGTAAGAAGCTTAAAAGAAGAAAAAATTCCTAATGTCTTTCTGCTTTTCTGCCTCACGATATATACTGAGCATTTTCGTGCCTTTTAAATAGTTTTGTGATAGTACCATTGGTGTTGCATAGTATTTTATAGTATGTGTGTTCTTTATTTTATTTAGACATTTCTCTAATAATAAATATGTAGGTTCTTTGTATTTATTTTTGGAATTATTAAATAATAAAATTTTGGTACTTATATTGTTCTTTGTTTCTCTCTATTTTAAATTCCTAAAGGAAATATTTATGGGTCAAAAGTTCTGAAAATTTCAACTTTTAATACAACTGCTGGGTTTATGGAAAGGCTGTGGAAACTTAACGCTATCATCACAGTATGTTAAGAATGACAACCATACCATTTCCATGCCAAAATTCTATATGCTATTAAACTATTACTAGTATTTATTAATTGATAATTTTGCTTAATTTTTTTGAATCAATTTTTTTGATTTATAAGAGTTTATATTCTATTAGCGTAGTTACGGTGACCATTTTTTTCCTTGGTTTGCCGTGTAATATTATGTTAGCTTTTTATGTGTTATTAATTTTTTTTAGTAGTTAAATCTACTTATTTTTTTCATTTGTTTGCTTTTGTAGAATAATATTGTGACTTGAAAGCTCTGAACTCTTCAGATATCACTTTTCCATGATTTTAATATTTGATTATCTCTTTAATACATATGTAATTTATTCTAATGTGTTTTATGATGTGGGTAGAATATTGATTTTTTTCAATAGTAAATTTTCCTAACATTCCTAACACCTTTTGTTGAATAGTCCATGTTATGTTTTTTACTCAAAACTTTTAAATAATTCTTGAACAACTTTAATCATTTTTCTATAAGGTGAATATTTCTGGGTATCTTGATGAAACCTGATGCCAGATAGAAGGAAACAATCCTGTAACTTAAAGAGCTATGTAAGTTTGCACTACATAGGTTGCTTTTGTCGTTTCCTATGTTTATTCTTCTGCTACTTACTGTGTTTATTAACAAATCTAATTTTTAGGTAACTTTAAATTTACAAACCTTCAATATATTTACTTTTATTGAGATAAAGCAAAATTCTCCTAATGTAAATCATTTCTAATTGTTGTCTCTTTTCTCCCAGATATAAAAACACTCAGTTGTGTACTTTTAGCCTTATTCTTTTTGTCTTTGTAAGTGATATATTTGATCAATGCCATTTGCAAAGGCCTTCACTATGTGTGCATCCAGTTAATCCAGCCAGACATTTGAGGAATTGCTCTAGAGATGACTTTATGGATTCGAAAGAATTCCTTATTTTAACTTATTCTGTGATTAGATGTATATCAGAAATGGTGTTTCCAGTAAAACATCATCCTTAAATAGCATGACAATCAAGGATTTTTTTAAAATGACACAATATATATTGTTTTTAAAATACATATTTTTTGTTTATTAATAAGCTATTTTGGACCATTTTCATGCAACCGCTTTTTTCTTTTTGAACTCAGAATTTAATAGAGGTGAAGGAGCAATTGTCTATCAAGCTATAGTTTTTCTTTGCATAGAACTCTGAAAAGCAGAAAAAGTCAAATTAAATCACTGATTAGGAATAGCTTGAGGTGAAAAGAGTAACATTTTAGGAAGCAATTGAAGCCAAAAGATTGAAAAACTATAAATGAGAAGAAAGCCTGAGGGTGATTAGGTCAGTATTCTTGTCATAGGGAAATAGTTTTCTTCATTGTCTTTAATAAAATGTGTCTCAGTGATTCCAGATGACACAAAAAATAGCGCTATGAAAATTTTCTAATTGTTTATTCATCTTTATGGAGTCTGAAAGGTTTATAAAGGAAAGCTTTAAAAACTGGTAGGTAGAAATAACATGGAGATTTTTTTTGCCTATGATATTTTCCCCCAAATAATGCTGAATTTAGAGATATGCACCATTTAACCAATGCACATTTGACTAAAGCAATTCATCCCATTTGACCTATTTTAGAAGGTAGTTCTGGAATCTGTGGATTATCACATTTTCCTCTTGTCAAGGTTGAGATTTCAGTTAGATCCAACTAATGCTTTCTATTGGGCATAAGAACAAGAAAAGAGAGGAAACTTAAGAGCAAAGATGTTTGGTTTCTTGGACTCCTTATGTAAATAACAACATTCATTGAATGTTAAGTACCAGGAACCATTCTAACTAACTATGCATGTGTGGGTATATACATGTATATATAGTTATAAACTGTTTATAATTAAACTGTATATATATAAAAATTAATATTTATCACTATTCTATGAAGTAGATACTATTAATATCTCCATCTAACATATGAGAAACAGAGGCTTACAGAGTTACATAACTTGTCCAGGGTAATGCAGCTGACAGTGTTATTTGATTAAACAAAAGCTGAAGCCTTCCATTAAAATACATGAACAGTAAAAGAAGAAACAAATTATATTGAGAAAATAGGTTTTGAATAAAAATTTGTAAGAACTCCAATTAGTCAACTTTATGTCTCTGGTTGTAATTCTTAGTGAATACTGATTTTGGGGGTGGGATATGGGGAAATGACCAGTGGGAGACCTTAGAGATCTCAATATTTCTAGGTGAATATTCTCTCAGTAAATAGGTAGGCCATCATTAAGCCTGAAAAAGTAAATTTTAATATGTTTAATGAAACAATAACTATTGATATTCAGTGTTTTAAATATCTCTTTTATTTTAGTTTGGGATTGAGGAAATATCTTACATTGCTGTTTCATTAGGACCTGAAACAGCTGCACTGTCTTTTATAATGATGCTCTGTTTTTGTAATGATGCTCAAGAGGCAATATATGTCTTCAGCGATTGACATTTGGTCATTGCCAAGGTTCGTATCTGCATTTCAGACATCATCCTTTTCTCTGTCTCCTTCTGATATTTTAGGAAAATTGCATTTACCCCCATCTCCACATTTTGACCAAAAAGAAAAGGAGAGACAAATATAAAATGTGTATCAAGGTCGAGTTTAGGGGAAGTAATTTTACTTATTAGAGGTAAACAGATTTTCTTCGCTAGCTAATATTACATAGGGCAATATTCTATAAAAGACTTGGAAATATATTGACAATGGGGCTTTTACTTACTTTTCTAGCATAAAACTAGATTTTTAAAAAACAAGAGTTATCTTCAATGGAACCTCATTTTTCTTTTTACGTCTTTCTTTCTTTTTTTTTTCTTGGTAACAAGGATTTGCTTGTTCTTCAGAAATTGAGCCAGAAGAGCAGTTTTCAGTTAATAGGATCTTAAGCCCCTACCACCAAGCTTAGCAATAATACATCCTTGATATTCTGAATATAAATATGCCACTTGACATATGTTGTCAATTCTATGGCAGCAAATAAAATGATACAATAATTATTGTTAGTATCTTTTGAATTTTACAATTAAGTTAATATTGTGATAGATGACTAATAAAGTAAAATGTGAATTAATATTGAATAGTCACATAAGACCAAAATAGATACATCAACCAAAATAGATACTGAACTTTTTATTCTATATACTTCTATATTTAAATATAAACTGTTAAATAAATTCAAACAATACATATAAACTAAAAATATAGTTTTATTTTACTTGTCCCCCTCACCTCATCTGCTCATTTCCTGGCAGGGCTACTATAAAAGAATACCAATAGACTGGATGTCTTAAACAGTAAACATTTATTTCTCACAGTTTTGGAGGCCAAAAGCCTGAGGTCAGGGTGCCAGCATGGATAAGTTCTGGTGAAGGCACTATTCCAGGTTTCTTGTTGTATCCTCACATGGAGGAAAGAGGGTGAGGGAACTCTGTGGGATTTCTTTTATAAGGACGCTAATCCGGTTAATGGCAGCTGTATCCTCATGACCTCATAGTCTACCAAGGCTCTTCTCCATGATACCATTCTCTTGGGGGTTAGGATTGCAACATATGAATTTGGGGATGACACAAATATTCGGTCCATAACAGCATGTACCTTTCTAGAACTTTTTCATGGTATAAAGATATAGAGATGTAAATATAAATATGTTTAATAGCTATATAGATCTTGCATTAAAAAACACAAGATCATACTGTTTTTCTGCAAATTATTACTTAAAAATTGTCTTAATTGAGAATATACATATATATTTTAAGTGCTAGTTTTTCTTTTTATAGATTGACATTGTTAATTAAAGCCGTCCTTTCTGTGGTGGACATCTCCATACGCACAGACCCTATCAGAATTTGGGAGAATTCTTTGTTCTGACAGATCCTGTGGAGAAGCATAAATGAAAATGGAAGCTGTAGCAGAATCAGTGCTACAGAGCACTAAAGAGACTGTGAAGCATAGATTCTGTAGAGATGCACTTTCGTTTCATACTTTAGCAACTGTTATTCCTTTCTCTTCATATGCTGTTAAATTATAACCTGTCTCCTGCCCTAGTTTCTTCCAGACACCTTCCATGAAATATTTGGTCAATTACTGCAGGCTGCAGTAATTTTTATGATGCTTCTCATTTGTCAGAGGACTTCCACAAATCCCAAATCATCTGTTAGTCTTTACCCTCTAACATTCTTTAACATTTCCCAGAAGGCAACTCAAGCTATGATAAACCTTGCATTTTAACGTTCAACATGATGCATTTTCTTTTTTTTTCACCCTTTGAAAGAGGTCCAACATTATTACTTCCATGCTTTTCATATCTGTTAGTGTCAATATTGTTTGCCAGACACAAAGTAAATGACAGAAAGAGAGGCCACAGCTGAGTAAACAACACTTGTTGCAGAATATACTGAAAGTTGGATAAAATGGTAGAGCAGTCTAGCTGAGGCATTTAGAGCTTTGGCTGAGATTTTCAATAGAATGTGCTTTGCCAAGTTCTCATTGACTAGGAACTCAAGGCACAGAGAAAATACAAATGCACGTTTGTTGACACAGACATATTGTTTGTTGTAAAGGATTGTGATACACACATGTCATATGCCTGTGTTTATATATTATGTATTAGTAAAATTCTTCAGAGATAAAATAAGTGTTGTGTGGGCATGGCCAGTGGATTATATATTCATACATATCTGTGTGTGCACATGTAGATATGTGTGTAGCACAGACTTCTAAGAGTGGAAATGCTGGGGAAGAGATGTTGAAGGACTTAGCAAATTGGAACTTCAAATAGAAAGTAATCTTTTCAATGCTCACTTCATTATATCTATGTAACATACCCACAATATTCCAATGAAATCATCCAACATTACAGGGGATATATAGGAGTGTACAATTTAAATCTTACCTTCAAAGATATTATTTAAATGGGGAAGATAAACACTTTACATTAAAAAACTTTAGATAAAAAATAAGTATTTTTTAGGTGGCATTGACTATGAAATTGTAAATGTAAGAGTGAAAAGTCAAAGGCTCTAAAATCAAAGAAATTTCCTCTAAAATTTTAAATTTTCAGAGGTGGGGCTAGCTTGTTATAGACCAACTGTCTCCAAGAGACTATCTAGAAAATCTAGACAAAATTAAAGAAAAAATGTCTGTCAAAAAGGATTAGAGAGCTACCAAGAAGGCTTGAGGAGCCAAGAGCTCAAAAGAAGAAAGGGGTAAAATTAAACTGACATTTGGTACCACTTTTTCTCATCAAAGCACCTGCCCATTCTAAAGGAGGTTACTGAGATGATTAGAAGCTGAGCAAAACTGTTAGAAGGTCACAGGGTCAGAAACTAGATTCCAAAGACTACCAAAAAGAGGGCCTAATTATACTCTCAAGGCTTCCATTGGTATTCCTGGAGGACTATACCCGTGGAGTAAGAGTGACCGTCTTGGTCTGTTCAGGCTGCTATAACAAAATACCATAGATTGGGTAGCTTATAAACAACAAAAATTTATTTGTTATGTCCTGGAGGCTGGGAAGTGCAGGATCAAGCGTGCCGATAGATGCAGTGTCTCCCGAGGGCATGCTTCCTGGTTCATAGCCATTTTGCTGTGTCCTCATATGGTGGAAGGGGGTAGATATCTTTGGGGTTCCTTTTATAAGGGCACTAACTCGCCTCATGAGGGATCTGCCCTCATCCTATAATCACCTCCCAGAGGTCTCACCTCCTAATGCTATCACCTTGGCAATTAGGATTTCAAAATTTGAGATTTGGGGAACACAAAATTTTGACCATAGTAGTCACCTTTCACAAAGAGCAACCTTCACAAAGCATAAAGCTTTGCTTTGAAGCAGCTCAGTAATAGATTAAGTATGTTTGACCATAACAGCCTGCCAGATATCTCATCCAGAGACTCAAATTAGCTCTATGATATTTCATATAAAATCCTGACTTTCAAATTACCAAGAATGGAAGGAAATGACATTACATAAATAAAATCTATGGGAAAATAAATGGAAAATAGACACAGATCTACAGGACATCCAGACATTCATAAAAATGAACAAGGACTTTAAGATAATTGTAAGCCCCAGTTACTGCAGTCACCACCATTTAATATGGTATGGATATATGCTTTCTTGGCTACTTTCACAAGTTCCTGTTACCTGCCTGGATGTTTTTAAGCCATATCAGTTTACTTCCCTTGCTTAATTTAGGTGGTGGTCTTTGTTTTTTGAACTGCTCTTCTCAGTACCTTTTGTATGCATGTTGATAACTTGGTAAACCACACATGAAGATACCTTTCTATGAACTGCCAGTTTATCTCCCTTGCTCAATTCTTCATTTCCCAGGACTCTCAAATAACCCTTCCTTCTGAACCTATAATCCTCTTTCCCCCCCATTAAAAGTAAGAGTGGCGGGAACCTAAAGGAAGATGTATAACTCAGCCACTTAAGTTGGAAAGTGTCTTGGACATTTTCTGCAGAATTCAGGTGTCATACATAAAACTACACAAAAGTGGAAATTGGGGATCTCAGACCCTTCATCAATTTGACATTTCTTAGTAATAACCTTGTCTTATTTGGACACTGAACTCCAGCCCCTTAACACACCTGGGAATTAAGGCAGGTGATCTTCTCCTGCAGGCCATGGCCTAGGACACCTTCTCTGTTCTTCTGAACTCATCTCCAGTGAGAACTGTGGGGGTTTAGTTGAGGACCTATGGTACCTGCTGGTGAATGGTTGAAATAATCTCCTCAAGGAGAGCAACATGCTGTTCCCACTTATATAAGAATTATAGGTAACTGAGGCTAATTTAAAATGTCCACAAGCTGGAGATAACTTATTATTTAGAGATCTACTGGCTAGAAGGGGATATCCAAAGTCACCTTTGTAAGAGAAAACATGTAGTTGACATATTTTTACTGTCTATCTAACATGCTTTTCTCTTTTATTATAGTATTAGCCATGCCCCACCCTCATTTCTATCCCCTCACCACTGTAGAGAAGGGGTCAATGAAGATACCTTGTCTTTATGGTCAAAGGGATAGACATCTAATTCAGGGCTGGCCAAAATTGAGCCAGAGACTCCTTTTATAGATACATCCATCCATCCTCTTTTCTCCTCTACACCCACCTCCCCACCTCCCCACCTCCCCCCTACACACCCCACTGAAACAGGGAGAGGTAACAGTGAGTTTCTCTTTCTTTGTCCTGGGACTGATAAGTAAAATTGTCTATGGTCTATTCATCTTATGGAAGTGATCAAAACTCAACAGATGGAGAACAAATGCCAAAACTCATATACAAACACCATATGAGGAGATAGGCATGTTAATTTGCTTGGCTGTAGTAATCATTGACTGTGTATATCAAAACATCATGTTATACACTTCAAATTTATAAAAAATTTATGAAAAAAGGTTATAAAGATACAAAGAAAACCTAAAACACATAGACACACACAAGGAGAGAGAGACACAAGGGAGAGAGACAGAGACCATTTTGGTCATTTCACCTCTGAATCTAGGCTTGACTCTTTAGTCATGTCAGGTTTTAGTTGGCTTTTTGTAACTTGCACTAAGAGAGTACTTAGTAGCCCAAATATAAGAGTGGATGGCAAATACCCAAAATGGAGAGGCTCCTTGAATGTGTGCAACATTGAAAAAGCTAATGAAATGTGAAGCAGCTCTGACACAGCTTCATGTAGAGTTGGATTTTAGGATTTTATCATGATCCTACTAACTTAGAATATATGATGCTTATAAAATATGATGTATATTCTTTACAACTATAATCTTAAAATTATTTTTCTTGTTTCTTTTAATGGAGAATTCAGAATAAAAATGGACCTTAAGAAACACATTCTTTCAGCATGCCTTAGAATTAGGTATCAAACAATGAATTACTTTATGTTAGGAGGGTTTTATGATTTGAAAAAAACCACATAATAGGGATTATTATAAATATTTTTGAAACATTAATGTTTACTTATTTGTACACTATTATATATTAAAATTTAAGACAAAAGAAGCTGAATTACTTTAGAAATATTGGTACAGTTGAAAAGTTTACCATCACATGAACTTTTTCTCAGTATTTGGAAATACTGGAATTCTACTTTAATATATTTCAATAACTTATCTTTTCTTTGCTTCTGAGGTGGAATGTTTTAATATCCCATAGAAGATCTTATATACATGGCATTTGAAAATGCAATCTTGACTGAAACGACTGTCTGAAACTATGAAACAGAATATTTATTCATTTATTTGGTAAGTTCAAGAAATGTCATGCTAGAGGTGGAGTAAGATGGATGAATAGAAGGCTCCACAGATAATCCTCCCCTCCTCATGCAACCTGCAGGAACACCAAATTTAACAATTATCTACACAAAAATCACCCTCATAAGAATGAAAAACCAGACCACCAATGTGATACCATTGAGTCTGCAAGAACCACAGCATAACTGGGCTTGGAGTGCCTCCTAATGCAGACATGGCTGAAATCACGACACCTAAGTCCTTTCAAATATCTGGAAAGCTTTCCCAAGAAAGACAGGTACAAACATGCCCAAGCTGCAGACTGCAATAAATACCTAAATCTTCAATGCCCAGACACTGATGAACATCCACAAGCATCAACACAATCCAGAAAACATGACCACACCAAACACATTAAGGAAGCAGGGAACAATCCTGGAGAAACAGATAAGTAATCTTTTAGATAGAGAATTGAAAATAGCTGTTTGAAGAAGCTCAATGCAATTTGATATAACACAGAGCAGGAATTCAGAATTCTATCTGATAAATTTAACAAAGAGATTGAAATAATTAAAAAGAATCAAACAAATTCTGGAATTGAAAAATGCAGTTGAACATAAGAATGCATCAGTCTCTTAATACTAGAATTGATCAAGCAGAAGAAATAATGAGCTTGAAGACAGGCTAATGATTGACAGTACTCAGAGGAGATAAGAAAAAAGATTAAGAAACAATGAAGCATGCCTACATGATCTAGGAAATAGCCTCAAAAGAGTAAATCTAAGAGTTATTGGCTTTAATGAGGAGGTAGCGAAAGGGACAGGGATAGAAAGTTTATTAAAAGAAATAATAACAGAGAATTTCCCAAACCTAGAGGAAGGTATCAATATGCAAGTACAAGAAGAGTACAGAACACCAAGCAGATTTAGCCCAAAGAAGACTACCTCAAGGCATTTAATAATAAAACTTCCAAAGGTCAAGGATAAAGTAAACATCATACAAGCAGCAAGAGAAAAGAAAGAACATACAATGGAGTTCCAATACATCTGGCAGCAGACTTTTCAGTGGAAACCCTATTGGCTAGGAGAAGGTGGTGTGACATAAAGTGCTGAAGAAAAAAAGAAACAAAAAAACTTTTACTCTAGAATAGTATATTCAGCCAAAAAAAAAAAAAAAAAAAAAAAAAATCTCTCAAACATGAAGGGAAAATAACGATGGTCCCAGACATACAAAAGCTGAGGGATTTCATCAACACCAGACCTGTACTACAAGAAATGCTAAAGGGAGTAGTTCAATCAGAAAGAGAAAAAACATTGAGCAATAAGAAATCAACAGAAGTTTAAAAACTCACTGGTGATAGTACCCAGAAAAAAGCTCCAGAATATTCTAACACTGTGTTATGTAAACTACTCTCATCTTAAGTAGAAAGTTAAATGATAAATCAATAAAAATAATGACAACATTTCAAGACATAGACAATACAATAAATGTAAATTGAAACAAAAAAGTTAAAAACCAGGAGGATGAAATTAAAGTTTAGGGTTTTTATTAGCTATCACTTTGCTTGTTTGTTTATGCAAGCAGTGTTTAGTTGTTATCAGCTTAAGATAATGGGTTACAAGATAATATTTGCAAGCTTTATGGTAACCTCAAATCAAAAAATTGATACACAAAAAGTAAAAAAAAAAATCATACCACCAGAGAAAATCACCTTCACTAAAAGAAGACAGAAAGGAAGGAAAGAAGAGAAGACCACAAAACAACCAGAAAACTAATAAAATGGCAGGAGTTAGTCCTAACTTATCAATAATAACACTGAATGTAAATGTACTAAACTCTCCAATTGGAAGACTTAGAGTGGTACAGTGGATAAAAAACAAGACCCAATAATTTATAAGAAACACGCTTCACCTATGAAGACATACATAGATGGAAATAAAAGGTTGGAAGAAGATATTCCATACAAATGGAAACCAAAAAAGAGCAGAAGTAACCATACTTACATCACACAAAATAGATTTTTAGAAAAAAACTACAAAAAGAGACAAAGTTATTATATGATAAAGGGACCAATTCAGCAAGATGATACAACACTTACATATGCATCCAATACTGGAGAACCCAGATATGTAAAGCAAATATTATTCATGTTATATATAGAGAGAGACCCCTAATACAATAAGAGCTGGAGACTTCAACAGCCCACTTTCAGAATTGGACAGATCTCCCAGACAGGAAATCAACAAAGAAATATTAGACTTATTCTACAGTATAAACCAAATTGAACAAATATATATTTACAAAGCATTTTGTTGAATAGCTGCAGAATATGCATTCTTCTCCTCAGCACATGGATCATTCTCAAGGATAGAACTTACGTTAGATCACAAAATGAGTCTTAAAACATTTTAAAAATTGAAATAATATAAAGCACCTATGTTAACCACAATGGAATAAACTACAGATCAATAATAATAACAATTTTTGAAACTGTACAGATGTGCAAATTAAACAATGTGCTTCTGAATGAACTGTGAGCCAAACAAAAAACTGAGGAAAAATTTTACAATTTTCTTGAAACAAATGGTAGTGAAAACACAAGACCAAAACCTATAGGATACAGCAAAAGCAGTACTAAGAGGGAATTTTATAACTATAAGCACCTACATCAAAAAGAAGAAAAACTTCAAATAAACAACCTAACAATGCATCTCAAGTAACTAGGAAACCAAAACCAAAATTAGCAGAAGAAAGAAATGATAGTGAATAGAAATAAGTGAAATTGAAAGGAAGAAAACAATACAAAAGATGAATGAAAAAAAGTGGTTTTTTTAAAAAAGTTAAAAACATTGCCTAACCTTTAGTTAGGTTAAGAAAAAAAAAAGAGAGAAGACCCAAATAAATAAAATCAGAGGCGAAAAAGGAGACATTACAATTGATACTGCAGAAATTCAAAGGATCATTAGTGGCTACTATGAGCAGCTATATGCCAATAAATTGGAAAAATCTAGAAGAAATGGATAAATTCCTAGAACATACAACCTACCAAGATTGAACCATAAAGAAATCTGAAACCTGAACAGATCAATAACAAGTAATGAGACCAAAACCATAACAAAAATTCTCCTAGTAAAGAAAAGCCCAGGACCCAATAGCTTCACTGATGAATTCTACCAAACATTTAAATAACAAATAGCAAATCCTACTCAAACTATTTCAAAAAATAGAGGAGGAGGAGATACTTTGAAACACATTCTACAAGGCCAGTATTACCCTGATAACAAAACCAAACAAGGACACAGAAAACAAGAAAACTAAGGCCAATATCTCTGATGAATACTGATGCAAAAATCCTAAAGAAAATACTAGCCAACTAACTTCAACACAACATTCCAAAGGTCATTTATGATGATCAAATTATGTTTATCCCAGGGATGCAAGGATGGTTCAACATATGCAAATCAATCAATGTTATACATCATATCAACAGAAAGAAGAACAAAAACTGTATAATCATTTCAATTGATGCTGAAAATCATTTGATAAAATTCAACATCCCTTCATGATAAAAACCCTCAAAAACTGGAACATACCACAACACAATAAAAAGCTGTAAACAATAGACCCACAGCTATATCATACTGGATGTGAAAACCTGAAAGCCTTTTCTCTAAGATCTGGAACAAGACAAAGATGCTCACATTCACCACTGTTATTCAAAATAGTACCAGATGTCCTACCTAGAGCAATTAGACAAGAGAAAGAAATAAAGGGCATTCAAATTGAAAAGGAAGAAGTGAAATTATTCTTGTTTGCAGATTACATGATATTATATTTGAAAAAACCCCAAGACACTGCAAAAAACCTATCAGAACTGATAAATTCAGTAAAGTTGCAGGATGCAAAATGAACATACAAAAAATCAGTAGCATTTCTGTATGCCAGCAAGAAACAATCTGAGAAAGAAATCAAGAAAGTAACCCCACTGTCAATAGCTACACATAAAATGCAATAGCTAGGAGTTAACCAAAGGAGAGAAGATCTCTACATTGAAAACTATAAAATACTGATGCAAAAAATTGAAGAGGATCAAAAATATGGAAATATATGCCATGATTCTGGAATAGAAGAATCAATATTGTTAAAATGTTCATACTACCCACAGTTTCAATGCAATCCCTATCAAAATACCAATGATATTCTTCATAGAAATAGAAAATCCAATTCTAAAATTTGTGTGGAACAACAAAACACCCAGAATAGCCAAAGCCATCATAAGCAAAAGGAAAAAAACTGGAGGAATCACGTTTCCTGACTTCAGATTATACTACAGAGCTACAGTCCCCCAAATAGTATGGTACTGGCATACAAAGAGACACACTGACCAATAGAGATTAATATTCTCTATTCTCAACACAGTGGAGAACCCAGAAGTAAATCTATACATCTGCAAGTGAACTCATGTTTGACAAGGTACCAAGAACATACACTGGGGAAAGGACAGTCTCTTCAATAAATGGTACTGGGTAAACTGGATATCCATGTGCAGAAGAATGACACTAGACCCCCATCTGCAGCGTATACAAAAATCAATTAAAATGGACTTAAAGACTTAAATCTTAGCCCTCAAACTATAAAACTAGTAAAAGAAAGGGCTGGGAAAACTTTCCAGGACATTGATCTGGGCAAAGATTTCTTTAATAATATGCTACAAGTGGCTGGGGGCAGTGGCTTACGCCTGTAATCCCAGCACTTTGGGAGGCCGAGGCGGGTGGATCATGAGGTCAGGAGATCGAGACCATCCTGGCTAACATGGTGAAACCCCGTCTCTACTAAAAAACACAAAGAATTAGTCGGGCGTGGTGGTGGGTGCCTATAGTCCCAGCTACTTGGTTGGCTGAAGCAGGAGAATGGCGTGAACTGGGAGGCGGAGCTTGCAGTAAGCCAAAGATCGTGCCACTGCACTCCAGCCTGGGCGACAGAGGGAGACTCTGACAAAAAAAAAAAAGCCACAAACACAGGCAATCAAAGTAAAAATGGACAAATAGAATCACATCAAGTTAAAAACCTCTGCACAGCAAAAGAAACAACAAAATGAAGAGACAACCCACACAATGGAAGAAAATATTTGCAGGCTATTCATCTGACAAGAGATTAATGTCCATAATGTATATGAATCTTAACGCTATAGAAAAAATCTAATAATTCAATTAAAAATGGACAAAAGACCTGAATAGACATTTCTCAAAAAAGGACATGTAAATGTCAAACATGTATATGAAGAGGTGCTCAGCATCACTGATCATGAGAGAAATGCACCTCAAAACTACAATGAGGTATCATTTTACTGCAGTTAAAATGGCTTATATCTAAAAGGCAATAACAAATGCTGGTGAGGATGTATAGAAAAGGGAATCCTCATCCATAGTAGTAAAACCACTATGAAGAACAGTTTGGAATTTCCTTAGAAAACTAAAAATAGAGCTACTATATTATCCAGCAATGAAACTGCCAAGTACATACCCAAAATAAAGGAAATCAGTATATCACAGAGATATCTGTACTCCTGTGTTTATTGCAACACTGTTCATGATAGCCAAGATTTGGAAGCAATATAAATGTCCATCAACAGATGCGTGGATAAAGAAAATGTGGTACGTATACACAATGGAATACTATTCAGCCATAATAAAGAATGAGATTCTGCCATTTGCAACAACATGGATGGAAATGTAGGTTATTAAGTGTAAAGTGAAATAAGCCAGGCACAGAAAGACAAACTTCACATGTTCTCACTTATTTGTGGAGCTAAAAATTAAAACAATTGAACTCATGGAGATAGAGAGTAAGAGGATGATTACCAGAGGCTTGGAAAGGTAGTTGGAGGGATTGGGGAGTTGGGGGGAAGTATAATGGTTAATGTGTACAAAAAATAGAAAGAACAAATAAGACCTAGTATTTGCTAGCACAACAGAGTGACTATAGTTAAAAATAATTTAATTGTACATTTTAAAAACTGAAAGAGTATAATTAGATTGTTTGTAATACAAAGGATAAATGCTTGACGTGATGGATACCCCAGTTACACTGAGGTGATTATTACACATTGCATACCTGCATTAAAATATCTCATGTAACCCATAAGTATATATAACTACTATGTACCCACAAAAATTATAAATTAAAGAAATGACATATTAATTTATTTAGAACTCAGGTAAAAACTCCCTATGGATACTAAAACATATTTGGGAAGTTCCTTACCAAGTTTGAAGGATACATTTCCAAAATTAATTATACGTAATAACCTTATTATATGGAATAGTTTGAACTTGAATACATGAGTTTTGGTTCGCCATGAACATAATGGTAAATACTAATGCTCTTGACTTATGATGGGGGCTATATCACAATAATCCATCATAAATTGAAAATATTTTTGACTTAATTTTTTTTTTTTTTTACTTACAATGTGTTTAACTGGACATACCTGTTCTAAGTTGAAGAGTTTACTAAATGGCATATCACTTTTGCATAGTTGTAAAGTCAAGAAATGATAAGTCAAATGATAAGTCAGGGACCACCTGAATCAGTTATTGTGTAATAGGTCGTTGATCTCTATTGCTCTTCAGATGTATAAGTTTATCTCCATTTTAAATTTCACACTGGTCTGTTTTTGAGGTGTTTACTTTTATAATTTTCTACCTTCTTCCTCTTTTTCAAAATCTCAACTTCACTTCTTAACTGCTGTCAGTATGCTAGCTTTTAGCTATCTCTCAGTTCCCCCTTCTTCTCTCTCTTCTTTGCCCTCTCTCTCTTGCCATTATTCTGTAGGCATCACATAAACTTGCTACTATCTATTTTTGATACTCATTTTAGTCTTTTTGGCTAACTTGCTGATTCTGTAAATTGAGACTTACAGATAATGATCCCTGAATAAATGAAGGGGCCACTTTACTTTTAATAATGAAAAATCCTGTTACCTGTTTTCAGATAGCTATAACTGTCATTAGAAGACTCAGATAATGTTGGCAAATCTATTCAGATCAGTCAAAAAATAGTATTTCAGGACAATGTACAAATAGAAGACATTCTCAGTGCTTATTAAATAAAGGAAGACTTTTGGAAAGTTTTTTTTTCTTTCTTTTTGATTTGAAAGGACATAAAAGGAAGGTCTTATTACATTTTTTAAAAAAACATTAAGAGCACACGAACATTTCCCCTAAATGGAATGATGAATAATTCAACAACAAAGGAGAGAAGTTTATAGAATTTATAAAATTGCAAAGCCAAAGGATAACATAATCTAGAAATTCACCAAGGGAAAACTAAAATGACAAATTCGGTTCATCACCACCTTGCAAATGTACAGTTTTAGTGAATACTTGACTTCATTTTTCTAAAATACAAAACAGTGTTTTAGTTAGGTGAAGACATTGACATATGGAAGGTGTTTGAGAATTTATGCCAGTTGAATAATTAATAAATCAATGAACAAGTTATTGTTGGACATTCACTATGTGCACAGCATGTCCCAGGTGGTATGGGGGAAGTGTTAATCAAGTCATATCATGCTGTTGCTATGCTCATGGGATAGTCTAATATCAGATTACAACAGTTTTCTGCCAAAAAAAAGTACCTTGTGTTAAAATGACTTCCATGTATTTTTTTTCTCAATTTCTAAATGGGCTACTAGAGATAGCAGTAGGAAACAGAAAGGTGGTAAGGCAATGTAGCCAAAGACAAATATTTTTTCTAAAATGTTTTCTGAAAAAAAGAGGTCTCAGCTGGGCATGGTGGCTCACACCTGTAATCCTAGAACTTTGGGAGGCTGAGGCAGGTGAATCACCTGAGGTCGGGGTTCAAGACCAGTCTGACAAACATGGAGAAACCCCTTCTCTACTAAAAAATACAAAAAATTAGCCAGGTGTGGTGGCACATACCTGTAATCCCAGCTACTTGGGAGGCTGAGGCTGGAGAATCACTTGAACTGGGGGGCAGAGTTTGCGGTGAGTGGAGATCATGACATTGCACTCCAGCCTGGGCAGCAAGAGCGAAACTCTGTCTCAAAAAAAAAAAAAAAAAGTCTCTGTAGAACAAGAAGTTGAACTGAAGATGGTCAGAGAGAACCTAGAGGATTTTTGGATTTGCCTTAAGGGGACTCAAACTGGTGAAATGTCTTATTCTTTGTAACATTAGGGAAATGGTGATAGCAGATGGTTTGAATGTGCCCTCATTGCTGTGTTGGAAACTTAATCACTAATGCAACAGTGTTGGGAAGTGGGAACCAATAAGAGGTGATTAGGTCATGAGGCCTCTGCCCTTGTGAATGGATTAATGTCGTTATTGCAGTTCTGGGTTAGTTATCATGAGAGAGGCTTTCTTATAAAAATGAATTTATCCTTCTCTTCTTCATTCATTCTTGCTTTTTTTTGCTCTTCTACCTTCCACCATGGGATGACACAGCACAAAGGCCCTTGGCAGATGCCAGTACCATATTCTGGAACTTCCCAGCCTCTATAACCATGAGCAAATAAATTTCTGTTCATTGTAAATTACCCAGTTTGAGGTATCCTGTTACAGCAACATAAATTGCACCAAGACAGCAGGATTACAAAAATAAACAAAAGGAATTATTTTCCATCTGCTCTCTTTTTGTTCCTGATTGTATTTGCTTGGCCTCTCAAATGAAGGTATGTACTTGTAGTCAGAAGGAGAAGAGGAGTTCTCTGTAAGAACAACCTGTCCTGATCAATACAGGTTCAAAGGGTTTGATGTTCTTATAGGTTCTTCCAGGTAGCAAAAAAATGTGAACAAGATTAATAATGAGTACAGGAAAATAAGATTTGGTTGTGTTTCCAGCAATATCAAATTGATTAAATATCCTAAAATAGCCTTGATACAAAATAAATGGAAATGTTGAATGAAATATAATCAGTATTCTTTAAATACATAACTGGGCTAGGAAGAAATATGGGAGATTATTAGTATATATGATAAAGAGCAACTTGCTACTCTACACAGAAACTGAATCTAGACTGTTCTGTGGGATTTGGGGATTGGTAGATTTTAGCAACCAAGGTATTTGTGTAGTAATGGCTACATGGGAGTGTCTATTAGTCCATTTTCATGCTGCTGATAAAGACATACCTGAGACTGGGCAATTTACAAAAGAAAGAGGTTTAATTGGACTTACAGTTCCACATGGCTGGGGAAGCCTCACAATAATGAAGGCAAGGAGGAACAAATCACGTCTTACGCGGATGTCAGCGGCAAAGAGACAACTTGAGCAGGGGAACTCCTCTTTTTAAAACCACCAGATTTTTAGAGACTTATTTACTATCACGAGAACAGCATGTGAAACACCTCCCTCCATGATTCCATTACCTCCCACCAGGTCCCTCTGACAACACATGGGAATTCAAGATGAGATTTGGGTGGGGACATGGCCAAACCATATCAGAGTGGGAGGGAGATAAGGTTTTGAATTCTTACAAAAATGAGAGTTCAAATTGAGATCTTCAAAAATGCTAGGATCCTTAGGAAACAACGTCTTTTATACAAAACATCTTCTGACACTGGCTAAGGAAGATGACAGTCAAGTTTGCCTGTTTTGACTTGTATTTTAGAGAAATTTAAAAAAAATCTGTGGCAATTTATCATCCTAGTCCAATCTTCATGTGAATTTGAACTTGGAACTTTTGTATCCCTGTGATCTTAACAAAAGATAAAAATTAATATTTAAAAATGGTTCTCGAATTGCCATACTCATGAGACACCTAGCAGAAGCAAATGCAAAAGAAATCTGAAGAACTCACTTCAACTCAGGCCCCACAAGTTTTATATACAAAATTTCATCAAACATGAATTTACAGTCTAAAAATAAAAAACAGGGATCCATTAGCCATAGTCATTATATACTGCAGATAGCATATTTAGAACATCAAGGACTTCAAATAATGGGTATTATTAGATATAATTAGATAATTATAAACTGTGTTTAAAATAATACAAATGATCATAGATTTAATAAAAATAAAATATAAAACAAAGTACCAGCAGAAGACCTCCAGATTTCAAAAATAATGATACAGCCTTATAGGAATATCGACACCATTTTTATAGTATAATCAAATGTGCGTATATTGACTTCTATGTCTAACAAGGAATAGACACATTTTTATAATGTTAATATGATGTATCACATTGATTGATTTGCATATGTTGAACCATCCTTGCATCCCTGAGATAAATCCAACTTAGTAATCATGTATGGTTTTTGGAATGTTGTGTTGAAGATAGTTTGCTAGTATTTTGTTTAGGATTTTTGCATCAATATTGATCAGAGATACTGGCCTTAGTTTTCTTGTTTTGCTGTGTTATTGTTTGGTTTTGACATCAGTGTAACATTGGCTTTATAGAATGTTTTTGGACATATCTACTCCTCCTCTATTTGGTGGACTAGTGTGAGTAGGATTGGTTTCAGTTATTTAAATGTTCGGTTGAATTCAGCAGTGAGGCTGACATGTGCCACACTTTTGTTGTTGTTGGGATACATTTTTTAAGGGCTTTATCTCATTACTTGATATTGATCTGTTCAGGTTTTGCATTTCTTCGTGGTTCAATCTTGGTAGGTTGTATGTGCGTAGAAATTTATTCATTTCTTCTAGAATTTCCAATTCTTTGGCATGTAATTGCTCATATTAGTCTCTAATGATCCTTTGAATTTCTGTGGTCGTGTTTGTAAAGTCTCCTTCTTCATCTCCGATTTTATTTATTTGGGTTGTCTCTCTTTTTTTTAAGTTAGTCTGGGTAAAGTATTCACAATTTGGTTTATCTTTTCAAAAACCAACTTTTCATTTCATTATGTTTTTCTTCTTCCAATTTCATTTATTTCTGCTCTGATCTCTATTGTTTCTTTTTTTCTACTAATTTTGGGTGCTCTTGCTCCTCCAGTTCTTTAAGATATATCATCAAGTTGTTCATTTAAATTGTTTTTTCTTTTTTGATGTAGATGCTTATTGCTGTATGTATTCCCCTTGGTGGTGCTTTTGCCGTATCCCATTGGTTTTGGTATGTTTTGTTTTCATTATCGTTAGTTTAAAGAAATTTTAAAATTTTATAATTTCTTCATTGACCAACTGGTCATTCAGGAGTGTATTGTTTAATTTCCATGTGTTTGTATAGTTTTCAACAATCCTCTTATTTTTCTTTGTAGTTTTATTGCATTGTGGTAAAAGAAGACATTTGATATAACTTCAATTTTTTGGATTTTTTATGACTTGTAGCCTAACATATGGTCTATCCTTGAGAATGATCTATATGTTAAGAAAAACGTGTATTCTGTAGTTGTTGGATGAAATTTTCTGTAAGTATCTATTAGGTCCATTTGGCTTATATTGCAGATTAAGTCTAATGTTTCATTGTTGATTTTCTGTCTGAATGTTTTGTCCGATGCTGCCAGTGGTGTGTTGAAGTCCCCAGCTCTTACTGTATTGGGGTCTATTTCTCTTTTTAGCTCTAATAATATTTGCTTTGTACACCTGAGTGCTCCAGTATTGGGTGTATATATACTTAAAATTTTTAAATTATCTTGCTGAATTGGCCCCTTTATTATTATATGATAATCTTTGCGGCTTTTTTTTTTAAACAGTTTATGTCTTGAAATCGATTTTGTCTTCTGCTACTGTATTTTGGCTTCCATTTGCATGGACTTTTTCCATCCTTTTATTTTTAATTTATGCATGTCTACAGGTGAAGTGTATTTCTTAAAGGTAATGGATTGTTGGCTCATTTTTTTCAAAAAATCTATTCATCTACTCTGTGTATTTTTATTGGTTAGTACATTTACATTCAATTATATTATTTTCCAGTTGTTTTGTTGTCTTCTTTATTTTCTTGTCTTCCTTTTAGTGAATATTATTTTCTATGGTGTTATTTTTTAATTTTTTGCTGTTTTTTTCCTTGTATATTTGTTTTCAGTTTATTTTTCTTTACAACTTCTATTTTAGGTCCAAGGGATACATGTGTAGGTTTCTTTTTTTTTTTTTTTTTTTTTTTTTTTTTTTTTTTTTTTGAGATGGAGTCTCGCTCTGTTGCCCAGGCTGGAGTGCAGTGGCGCGATCTCGGCTCACTGCAAGCTCCGCCTCCCGGGTTCACGCCATTCTCCTGCCTCAGCCTCCCGAGTAGCTGGGACTACAGGCGCCCGCTACCACGCCCGGCTAATTTTTTGTATTTTTAGTAGAGACGGGGTTTCACCGTGTTAACCAGAATGGTCTCGATCTCCTGACCTCGTGATCCGCCCGCCTCGGCCTCCCAAAGTGCTGGGATTACAGGCGTGAGCCACCGCGCCCGGCCAGGTTTCTTGTATGGGTAAATTGCATGTCACAGGTGTTTGATGTACAGATTATTTCATCATCCAAGTAACAAGCATAGTACCCGATAGGTGCTTTTTTGATTCTCACCCTTCTCCCATGCTCTTTACTCTCCTGTGTACTCTCATTAAGTGGAGGAAAGGAGTCTCTCCTAGAGCTGTAATCTTCACTGCCTGGGGTTGGAGGAGAGGTGACATAAGCACTTCCTTGTCTGATCAGACTGGTTTCTCACTAGGTTGTAGTCCTTGTAGCCTAGCTAGCCTTCAATGTTATTTAGGACCCCAGAGCACTTCAGCACATGACAGCTGGGCTTGCCAGAACACAGTTTCTGACCATTGGGTTTGATTATTTGTACTGGCTAGAGCAGGTCTAACTGCTCCCTCTGTGGGTGCCAGTCAATTTCTGCCCCATATTACTTTCTGCTGTGACGGGCAGGACTGAGTTCTAATGCAAAGTTCCACAAACTGCACTCTCCATCCCCAACACTGTCATTGCTGGGGGATGGGGAAGGGGTGGTGTCGGCAATTCAAGGGTGTCTTTTCTTCCCCCTTCAGTGCCTCTTACCTTGATATGAGGTTTAAATCATGTACTGTCATCACTTAATTTTGGGTTATTACAAAGGCACTTTCACGTATGGATGGTTGCTCAGTTTGGTGTTCCTGCCATAGGACAATAACTGGTGCGTTCTATTCAGCCATCTTGTTCTATCTCCTCCAGTATTTTTTTCTGATTTATCAATTTAATTATGCTTCTATTGAAACAATTTTAGGAATACTTGTTTCAATAATACCTCAGTTTGTTCATCTGTTTTCTATTTCTGCTTAGTATTTATTTATTTATTTTTAGATGAAGTCTTGCTCTGTGGCCCAGGCTAGAGTGCATTGGCGTGATCTCGGCTCACTGTAGCCTCCACCTCCTGAGTTCAAGTGATTCGCCTGCCTTGGCCTCCCGAGTAGCTAGAATTACAGGTGCGTGCCACTGCACCCAACTAATTTTTTGTATTTTTTAGTAGAGACGTGGTTTCACCATGTTGGCTAGGCTGGTCTTGAACTCCTGACCTCATGAGCAATTTATTCTTTAGTAAATCATTTAAAATTATCACAATAGTAATTTCAAATCATTTTATTTTTGTCATGTACCATTATAAGATTGGTCCATAGATTTGGTTTACTACTTGAAAGATTGGCTTATAGTTTCAGAATTTCACTAAATGCTCAAAGAGCTAGCTCTTAGACTTATTAATTCTGCTATGTAATATGTATATTTCTGTTGTAGTTTTAGTAATTATTTCTCCTGTTTTATATTAGGATTGACTATAGTAGATACAAAAAATATTAAAAGTCAGGAATCAAAGCACAGTACTTGAGAACATCACCTAATAACAAAGGAAGACAGTAAGAGGAAGAAAGGAAGAAAGGGTCTACAGTCAACTAGAAAGCAAGGAACAAAATGGCAGTCATAAGACCTAGCCTATCAAGAATAACTTTGAATGAAATTGGATTAAATTCTCTAATCAAAAGACATAAGTTGAATGGATATTGATATGGTTTAGCTTTGTGTCCCCACCCAAATCTCATCTTGTAGCTCCCATACTTCCCACATGTTGTGGGACCCACTGGGAGATGATTGAATCGTGGGGATGGGTCTTTCCTGTGCTGTTCTCATGATAGTGAATAAGTCTCATGAGATCTGATGAAGTTTTTAAGAATGGGAGTTTCTCTGCACAAGCTCTTTCTTTGCCCGCTGCCATCCATGTAAGACCCGATTTGCCCCTCCTTGCCTTCCACCATGATTGTGAGGCCTCCCCAACCATGTGGAACTGTAAGTCTATTAAACCTCTTTCTTTTGCAAATTGCCCAGTCTCAGGTCTGTCTTTATCAGCGGTATGAAAATGGACTAATATGGTAAATTGGTACCAAGATAGTGGGGTGTTGCCGAAAAGATACTTGAAAATGTGGAAATGACCTTGGAACTGGGTAACAGGCAGAGGTTGGAACAGTTTGGAGGGATCAAAAGAAGACAGGAAAATGTGGGAAAGTTTGGAACTTCCTAGAGACTTGTTGAATGGCTTTGCCCAAAATGTTGATAGTGATATGGACAATAAAGTCTAGGCAGAGGTGGTCTCAGATGGAAACGAGAAACTTATTGGGAACTGGAGCAAAGGTGACTCCTGTTATGTTTTAGCAAAGAAACTGGCAGCATTTTGCCTCTGCCCTAGAGATTTGTGGAATTTTGAACTTGAGAGAGATGATTTAGGGTATCTGGCAGGAGAAATTTCTAAGTGGCAAAGCATTCAAGAGATGACTTGGGTGCTGTTAAAGGCATTCAGTTTTATAAGGAAAGCAGAGCATAAAATTTGGAAAATTTGCAGCCTGACAATGCAATAGAAAATAAAATACCATTGTCAGAGGAGAAATTCAAGCTGGCTGCAGAAATTTGCAGAAGTAACGAGGAGCCAAATGTTAATCCTCAAGACGATGAGGAAAATGTCTCCTGGGCATGTCAGAAGGCTTCATGGCAACCCCTCCCATCACAGGCCCAGAGGCCTAGGAGGGTAAAATGGTTTCATGGGCCAGGCCCAGGGACTTTGTGCTATGTGCACAAAGCTAGAGACTTGGTGCCCTGTGTCCCAGCTGCTCCAGCTGTGACTAAAAGGGGCCAAGCTAAAGCTCGGGCCATGGCTTCAGAGGGTGCAAGCCCAAAGCCTTGGCAGCTTCCAGGTTGTGTTGAGCCTGCAGGTGCATAGAAGTCAAGAACTGAGGTTTGGGAACCTCCATCTAGATTTTAGAGGGTATATGGAAATGCCTAGATGTACAGGCAGAAGTGTTTTACAAAGGCGGAGTCCTCATGGAGAACCTCTGCTATGGCAGTGCAGAAGGAAAATGTGGGGTAGAAGCCCCAGCATAGAGTCCCTACTGGGGTACCACCTAATGGAGTTGTGAGAAGAGGACCACCATCCTCCAGACCCCAGAATGGTATATCCACTGACACCTTGCACTGTGCACCTGGAAAAGCCACAGACACTCAATGCCAGCCCATGAAGGCAGCTGAAAGGGAGGTGGTACCCTGCAAAGTCACAGAGGCAGAGCTGCCCAAAACTATGGAAACCTACCTCTTGCATCAGCATGACCTGGATGTGAGACATGAAGTCAAAGGAGATCATTTTGGAGCTTTAAGATTTGACTGCCCTGCTGGATTCTGGACTTGCATGGGACCTGTATCCCCTTTATTTTGGCCAATTTTTCCCATTTGGAATGGCTGTATTTACCCAATGACTGTACCTCCATTGTATCTAGGAAGCAAGTAACTTGCTTTTGATTTTACAAGCTTATAGGCAGAAGGGACTTGCCTTGTCCCAGATGAGACTTTGTACTGTAGACTTTTGAGTTAATTCTGAAATGAGTTAAGACTTTGGGGGACTGTTGGGAAGGCATGATTCATTTTGAAATGTGAAGATAGGAGATTTGGGAGGGGCTGGGATGGAATGATATGGTTTGGCTCTGTGTCCCCACACAAATCTCATCTTGTAGCTCCCATAATTCCCAAGTGTTGTGGAAGGGACCCAGTGGGAAATGACTGAATCATGGGGGTGGGCTTTTCCCCATGCTGTTTTGTGATAGTGATTGGGTCTCACAAGATCTGATGGTTTTAAAAACAGGAGTTTCCCTGCACAAGCTCTTTCTTTGCCTGCTGCCATCCATGTAAGATGTGACTTGCTCCTTTCCTTCCACCATGATTGTTAGGCCTCCCTAGCCATGTGGAACGCTAAGTCCAATAAGCCTCTTTCTCTTATAAATTGCACAGTCTCAGGTATGTCTTTATCAGCAGCATGAAAATGGACCAATACAGATATTTTTTAAAAGACCCAGGCTTCTTACAAGAGACTCACTTCAACTGTAAGGACACTTATAGAATGAAAGTGAAGAAATGCAAAAACATATTCCATGCAAATAGAAACCAAAAGACAGCATGGGTAGCTATACTTAGATAAAGTAGAATTTACATCAAAAACTGTAAAAAGAGACACAAAAAGGTCAGTATATGATGATAAAGTTGTCAATTCCTCAAGAAGATATAACAATTATGAGTTTTACATAAAATTATAAATTGAATCAGTAATAATTCTCCATACCTAACATTAGAGCACCTACGTATATAAATCAATGTTACTAGGCCTCAAGTAAAATATAGACTATAATACAATAATAGCAAGGAACTTTAAAATCTTACTTTCAGCTATACACAGATTATCAAGACAGAAAATCAATAAGGAAATATTGAACTTGAACTACACTTTTGAAATAGACCTAACAGAGATTTACAGAACATTCCATCTAACAGCACCAGAACCCATATTCTCCTCAAGAGCAGATGAATTATTCTCCAGGATACATCATACGCTAGGCCACAAAACAAATTTTAACAAATTTAATAAGTTTAAAATCATATCAAGTATTTTTTCAAAATACAATTATATAGATTCAGATCAATAATGAGTAATTTCAAAAAATTCACAAATACATGGAAATTAAACAACATGCTCCCAAACAACCAATGGGTCAAAGAATAAATTAAAAGGGAAATTCTATTATCTAACCTAACTGAATATCCTGAATGCTGGGTCAGGCATGTGAGAGGAAAAAAGACCCCATTATTTCTTGCCAAAGTCATGGTGCTAGGACTGCGTCTCTTATACAGAGATAGCACCTTGTTCCAGGGGTCTGAAGACTACCTGTGACCCCTGTCAGGGCTTGTGCTTACACATACCACTGGCATGCAGGCCTCCCTGGTCTGACTCCACCCAGCTTCCCCACTCCCTCCTGTGCAAAATGTGGGACCCAGGCCCTTGAGTGCTCTAGGGCACAACCCACTACCGGGAACCCTGGAGCACTTCTTGAGGTATAAGCAAAGATGAAGTATAAACCCTATTGCTACTACATCAGGTGACTCTTAGCTGCAAGCACCACCTACGTAACCCAACACAAAATGTGCTGACATAAGTGCAGAGCACTTGGGAGTGAGATAGGCTTCTTGTGACTTCTGCTACTACCATTGTCCACACAACTCTGGCTTCTCCGAAGGTAATGAGCCCACTCACTTTCCAGGATACTACTACTGCAACTGGCATTTGAGAAAGCCAGCACACTAACTATGAAAATTATACAGAGTTTTCACTACTGAATGCACCCAGAAGCAAAACCAAATGGTTCTATCCAACATATATCATTATCACATCCTTAAGAAAAAGTCCCACCCTGGGTTGGTCCATTTGTGTGGTTATAAAGGAATAACTGAGACTGGGTGATTTATTAAGAAAATTGGGTTACTTTGCCTTACAGTTCTAAAGGCTGTACAGGAAGTGTAGTCTTGGCAAATGCTTCTGGTGAGGGCCTCAAGAAGCTTTCACAAATAGCGGTAGGTGAAGGGAGCAGGAACATCACACGATGAGAGAGGGAGCAAGGTGGGGGGAGGTGCCACAGTCTTTTAAACAACAAGCTTTTATGTGGATTACCACAGTGAGAACTCACTTATCATGGGGATGGCACCAAGCCATTCATAAAAGATCTACCCTATGACCTGGACATCTCCTACTCTCCATCCCCTCCAACATTGGCAATCACATTTCAACATGAGATTTGAAGGAGACACATATCCAAACTATATCACACCCCAATAAATTAAAAAGTAAGAGTTGACTGTTTCTTCAGATGTGGAGAAATCAGCATAATAATTCTGAACACATGAAAAAGCAAGGTGTTATGAAATCCCCAAAGGAAGACAATAATCTCTAGATATGGATCCTACTAAAAAGAAATGTTTGAAATGTTATGTAAGGAATTCAAAATATTAATTTTAAAGAAGCTCAATGAGAGATAAATCTGAAAAAATAATACAAAGTCAGAAAATCAGATCAGGATATGAATGAGAAATTTACCAAGGAGATATCTTTAAAAGCTAAAATAATAAAACAGAACTTTTGAAAACAAAAAAAATTATTGAAAGAATTACAATATACTGCTGAAAGCTTCAACAATAACCTAGACCAAGCAGAAGAGAATATCTAAAACATCGAATATATGTCTTTTGAATTTATTCAGTCAGACAAATTATTTTGTTTGAGATGGAGTCTTGTTCTGTTGCCCAGGCTGGAGTGCAATGGCATGATCTTGGCTCACTGCAAGCTCCGCCTCCCGGGTTCACGCCATTCTCCTGCCTCAGCCTCCCGAGTAGTAGCTGGGACTACAGGCACCCGCAAAAACGCCTGGCTAATTTTTTTTGTTTTTTGTATTTTTAGTAGAGATGGGTTTTTACCGTGTTAGCCAGGATGGTCTTGATCTCCTGACCTTGTGATCTGCCCGCCTCAGCCTCCCAAAGTGCTGGGATTACAGGCATGAGCCACTGCGCCTGGCCCAAAAATTTTTTTAAAAGAATGAACAAAACCTTAGAGAAGTATGGAACTGCATAAAGCAATGTAACTTAGGAATCATTGGTATTCTCAAGGGAGAAGAGAAAGCAAAATGTTTAGAAAACCTGTTTAAGGAAATAATTGACAAAAGATTTCACTGGTCTAGCAAGATATTTGAATATCTAGATACAAAAGGCCCAACAAATACTAGGAAAATACATTGCAAGATGAAATTCACCATTACATGTAGTCATCAGACTTTCTAAAGTCAAAGTGAAAGAAGAAAAACCTTAAAATCAGCAAGAGAAAAACATTTAGTCCCTGTAAAGGAAACCAAATTAGGCTTACATTGTGATTCTCAGCAGAAGCCTTAGAAACCAGAAGAGATTTGTGCCCTATTTTCAAGGTGCTTAAGGAAAAAGAAAAAAAAAAAAACTGGCAATCACAAATACTATATCTTGTCAGAGTAACTTTCATAAATGAAAGAGAAAGTCTTTTTCAGACAAGCAAACACTGAAGGAATTTGTCATCCCTAGTGTGGCTCTACAAGAAATGTTCCAAGGCGTTCTAAACATGGGAAAAGGTTAGTATTCTCCATGGTAAAAATACATGAAAGTACAAAACTCACAGGTCTTAAAAAACTACTACACAAGGGACGAAGAGAAAAAAAAATCAAATGGCAACAAGACAGAACTCCACCAAACCATAAAGATAAGCAGAGAGAGAAAAGAAAAAAAAAAGCAAGAATCTAAGAATCCACAAAACAACTAGATAATAATGAACATTATGATGGGTATAAAACTCCACATATCAATATTAAGGTTGAACATAAATGGATTAAATGCTCCACTTAAAGTATAGATTGGCAGAATGGATAAAAAGTGAACCAACTGTATGCTGCTGTGGTGTTGAATGTATATTTATAGGTTTTCGTCCACAGCTCTTGGCTCATAAGTCCCATAACCCTTGTTTCAATCTTTTGTTATAATGTTGGGTGTGTTAAGCTTCTGGGTTAGGCTTCAGGAAATAGTATCTCTCTTTTTCCTGTCCTCCTTTACCTGCTGCAAGACAGGACTCCATTCTTCCCCTGCCTTTCTGATTGTGGGTCATAAGACCCACCTCAGAAAGTTCCCACCCTATACCTAGGTAAGGAATGCTGATGTCATGAAGCTTCTATAAAAACCCAAGATTACTGGGTTGGAGAGTTTTCAGATAAGTGGAGATGTAGAATTTCCTGGAGGGTGGCACGTCCAGAGGGGGCATGGATGCTCAGCATCCCTTCCCTCATGCTTTGTCCTGAGTACCTCTTATGTATGTATCCTTTATAATATTCTTTAAAATGAACGGCTAAACATAAATAAGTGTTCCCCTGAGTTCTGTGAGATGCATCTCCAAATTAGTTAAACCCAAAGAGGGAATCATGGAAGTCCCAATTTGAAACTAATCAGTTAGAAATTCTAGAGGACTGGACTTGTGAGTGGCATTGGTGGAAAGGGGCAGTTTTGAGGATGAGTGCTTACCCTGTGGGATCTGGCACTGTCTCCAGGTACATTATGCAAGAATTGAATTCATGGAAAACCAGCTGGTGTCTGCTTCTTGGTGGCTGGAGGAAAACCCTCACACATTTAGTCACAGAAATCTTAGGGTTTATGATTGTTGTTGCTGTGGTGTGAGAGCAGTGGGAAAACATGATTTGAGGGAGTTTTTCCCTAAACAGCTGCTTACAAAAAACTCACAATGACACTTACAGGCTGAAGGTGAAGGGGTGAAAAAAATATTCCACACAAATGGAAATAAAAAGTGAACAGGAATAACTATGATCAGATCAGATAAAACAGACTTTAAATCAACAAAATTCACAGTAAAACAATAAAAAGGTCATTAAATAATGATGAAGGGTCAATACAAGAGGATGTAACAATTCTAAATCTATATGCACCCAACACTGGAGCACCTAGATTTATAAAACAAATATTACTAGACTTAAATAAATAGACACCAATAAAATATAGTGGAGAGCTTCAATGCCCTAATCTCCACATTAGACAGGTCATTGAGAGAGAAAATCAGCAAAGAACCTTGAGACTTAACTTGAATTTTAGACCAAATAGACCTAACAGATATTTACAAAACATTCTATTGAAGAAACACAGAAAATATATTCTCATCAACGCATGGAACATCTTCCAAGGTAGATCACATGTTAGGCCATAAAACATGACTCAGTAAATTTTTAAAAATAAAAATTATATCAAATATCGTCTCAGATCACAGCAGAATAAAACTAGAAATTAATGCCAAGAGAATCTCTTGAAACCATACAAATACCTGGAAATTAACGCTCCTGAATGATCTTTGGATCAATGATGAATTTAAGAAGAAAATTTAAAAGTCTTTTGAAATGAGGCCGGGCATGTTGGCTCACACCTGTAATCCCAGCACTTTGGGAGGCTGAGGCGGGTGGATCACGAGCTCAGGAGATCGAGACCATCCTGGCTAACACGGTGAAACCCCGTCTCTACTAAAAATACAAAAAAATTAGCCGGGCGTGGTGGCAGGTGCCTGTAGTCCCAGCTACTCTGGAGGCTGAGGCAGGAGAATGTCGTGAACGTGGGAGGCGGAGCTTGCAGTGAGCCGAGATCATGCCACTGCACTCCAGCCTGGGTGACAGAGAGAGACTCCGTCTCAAAAAACAAAACAAAAAACAAACCTTTTGAAATGAATGTAATTGGAGACACAACATATCAAAACCTGTAGATACCATAAAGGCAGTGCTAAGAGGGAAGTTTATAACATTAAATGTTAACTTCAAAAAAGAGAAATACTATAAATTAACAACCTAATGTCACACCTAAAGGAACTAGAAAAATAAGAACAAACTAAACCCAAATCTAGCAGAAGAAAATAAATAACATATATTCGAGCAGAACTAAATGAAATTGAGACAAAAAATACAAAAGATCAATGAATGAAAAGATGGTTATTTGAAAAAACAAAATTGATAAACTGCTACCTAGACTAACCAAGGAAAGAAGAGAGGAGATCCAAATAAAAATAATCAGAAGTGAAAAAGGAGACATTACAATTAAGCCCACAGGAAAAAACAAAACAAAACAAAAAACAGATACTGCTATGAAGAACTACACACTCACAAACTAGAAAACCTAGAGAGAATAGATAAATTTCTGGAAACATACAACCTCCCAAGATTGAACCAGGTATAAATTGAAATCCTGAACATACCAACAATGAATAGTGAAAGTGAATTAGTAATAAAAAAATTTCCCAACAAAAAAAAGCATAGGACTTGATAGATTCACAGTCAAATTCTACCAAACTTATAAAAAGGAACTGTACCAATTCTCCTGAAATTGTTCCAAAAATTGAGGAGGGAAACTTCCCTAACTCATTCTACAAAGTCAGGATCCCACAATACAACCTCTACATACCAATATTTCTGATGAACACTGGTGCAAAAATCCTCAACAAAATACTAGTGTATTGAATCCAACAGCACATAAAAAAACAATAAATCATGACTAATTGTTTGATTCCAGGGATGAAAGGATGGTTCAGTATAGGAAAATCAATAAATTTTACTTATTACATAGAGTATTATAACAAAAACTATGAATATCTCAATATATATAGAAAACATTAGATAAAACTCAGCATTGTGTAATGATAAAAATCCTCAATAAACCAGGCACAGAAGGAACATATCTCAAAATAATAAAGGTCATATATGAGAAACCTACAGCCTATATTATGCTGAATGGGGAAAGGTGAAAGCAATCCCCCTTAAAAAGAAATGGAACCAGACAAAGATGCTCACTCTCACTTTTCCTATTCAACAGAGTACTGGAAGTCCTAGCCACAGCACTCAGGCAAGAGAGAGGAATAAATGGCATCTAAATTGAAAAAGAGGAAGTCAAATTATCTCTATTCATCAATTATATGATCTAGAAAACCCTGAAGACTCCTCTATAAATCTCTTACATTTGATAAATGAATTTGGTAAAGTTTCAGGATACAAAATCAGTGTACAAAAATAAGTAGCATTTCTGTTTACCAATAACCATCAAGCTGGGAACCAAATCAAGAAGGCAATCCTATTTACAATAGCGATCAGAAAAATAGAATGTCTAGGAATACATTTAACCAAGGAGATGAAAGACCTCTATAAGGAAAACTAGAAAACATTGAATAAAGAAATTGTAGATACCACGAATCGAAAAATATACCACATTTATGCATCAGGGGGATTAATATTGTTAAAATGACCATACTACTTAGAGCATTCTACAGGTTCAATGCAATTCCTATCAAAATACCAATGTCATTCTTCCCAGAAATGGAAAAACCAATCCTAAAATTTACATGGAACCAAATGAATAGCCAAAGCAATCCTATGCAAAAAGAACAAAGCTGGAGGTATCACATTACCTGACGTCAAATTATATTACAAGGCTACAATAATTAAAACATCATGGTATTGGTACAAAAATAGACATGTAGATCAATGGAACAGAATGGAGAACGCAGAAATAAAGGTACATATTTACAGCCAACTGATTTTTGACAAAGTTGGCAAAAATATACTACAGGAAAGGACACTTTTCAATAAATGGTGTGTGTAAATTGGATTACTATATGCAGATAAAAATGAAATTGAACTATCTCTGAGCATGTATACAAATCAACTTAAGATGGATTAAAGGCTTAAATGTAAGACTTGAAACTACTAAAATACTAGAAGTAAACCTAGAGAAAACTTCTGGGCATTGTTATAGACAAAATTCATGACTAAGATGTCAAAAGTACAAACGACAAAAACAGAAATAGACAAATGGTATTTAATTAAACTAAAAATCTGCATTGCTAAAAGAAATAATAGAAATAACGAGTTTTTTTAAAAAAAGTAACGTTTTAAATAATAGAAAAGGAATAACAGAGTTTGAAGTTGGGTAACATGATGCCTCCAGCTTTGTTCTTTTTGCTTAGGATTGTCTTGGCTATTTGGGCCTCTTTTTGGGTACATATGAATATTAAAATAGATTTTTCTAATTCCATGAAGAATGTCAATGTTAGTTTAATGGGGATAGCATTGAATCTACAAATTACTTTGGGCAGAAAACCTTCAGAATGGAAGAAAATATTTGCAAATGATGCATCCAACACAGGATTGATATCCCGAATTTATAAGAAATTCAAACAACAAAAAACAACCCCATTAAAAAATGGGCAAAGAACATGAATAGACATTCTTTTCAAAAAAGACATATGAATGCCCAAAAAGCATATAAAAATGCTCAACATCACTAATCATCAGAGAAGCAGAAATTAAAATAACAATGAAATATTATCTTACATGTGTCCGAATGGCTATTACCAAAAAGTATAAAAGGAACAGATGCTAACAGTGATACAGAGAAAAAAGAATGCTTATCCACTTTTTGTGACAATGTAAACTAGTACAACTTCTACGTAAAACCTTATGGAGATTTCTCAAGTGAAAATAGAAATATCGTTCAATTGAGTAATTTCACCACTGTATATCTACCTAAAGGGAAGAAAATTATTACATAAAAATATACTTAGATTTGCATGTTTATTAGAGCACTATTCACAATAGCAAAGATATAGAGTCAGCCTGCGTCCAACAATGGATGATTGTATAACGAAAATGTAGTACCTGTACTATGCTAATTTGGTTACTGTAGCCTTGTAGTATAGTTTGAAGTTGGGTAGTGTGATGCCTCCAGCTTTGTTCTTTTTGTTTAGGATTGTCTGGCTATTTGGGCTCTGTTTTGGTTCCACATGAATTTTAAAATACGCCTAATTCTGTGAAGAATGTCAATGGTAGTTTAATGGGAATATAATTGAATCTTTTAATTGCTTGGGGCAGTATGGTCATTTTCACGATATTGATTCTTCCTATCCATGAGTATGGAATTTTTAAAATTTGTTTGTGTTCTCTCCCTGTCTGATTGCTTTGAGCAGTGATTTGTATTTCTCCTTGAAGAGGTCCTTCACATCCCTTGTTAGCTGTATTCCTAGGTATTTTATTCTTTTGTAGCAATTGTGAATGGGAGTTCACTCGTGATTTGGCTCTCTGCTTGCCTGTTATTGTTGTAAAGGAATGCTTCTAATTTTTGAACATTGATTTTGTATCCTGAGGCTTTGCTGAAGTTGCTTATCTGCTTAAGAAGCTTTTGGGCTGAGACGATGGGGTTTTCTAGATATAGGATCATGTCATCTGCAAACAGAGTTTGACTTTCTCTCTTCCTATTTAAATACGCTTTATTTATTTCTCTTGCCTGATTGCCCTGGCCAGAACATCTAATATTATATTGAATAGGAGTGATGAGAGAGGGCATCCTTGTCTTGTGCCAGTTTTCAAGGGGAATGCTTCCAGCTTTTGTTCATTCAGAATGATGTCGGCTGTAGGTTTGTCATAAATGGCTCTTATTTTGCAGTATGTTCCTTCAATATCTAGTTTATTGGGAGTTTTTAAGATGAATGTATGGTGAATTTTATCAAAGGTCTTTTCTACATCTATTCAGAGAATCATATGATTTTTCTCTTTGGTTCTGGTACAAGAACAGACACATAGACCAATGGAAAAGAATAGAGAACTCAGAAATAAGAGCACATCTACAACCATCTGATCTTGGACAAAACTAACAAGAACAAGCAATGAGGAAAGGATTCCCTATTTAATAAATGGTGCTGGGAAAACTGGCTGGCCATAGGCAGAAAACTGAAACTGGATCCCTTTTTACACCTTATAGAAAAATAAACTCAAGATGGATTAAAGACTTAAATGTAAAACCCAAAGCCATAAAAATCCTAGAAGAAAACCTAAGCAATACCATCCAGGACATAGGCATGGGCAAAGATATCACGACGAAAACACCAAAAGCAATTGCAAGAAAAGCTAAAATTGACAAACGGGATATAATTAAACAGCTGATGCACAGCAAAAGAAGCTATCATCAGAGTGAACAGGCAACCTACAGAATGGGAGAAAAGTTTTGCGATCTACCCATCTGACAAAGGTCTAATATCCAGAATCTACAAGGAACTTAAATTTACAAAACAGAAAACCCCATCAAAAAGTGGGTAAAGTGTATGAGCAGACACTTCTCAAAGGAAGACATTTATGTGGCCAAGAAACACATGAAAAAATGCTCAACATCACTGATCATTAGAGAAATGCAAATCAAAACCGCAATGAGATACCAGCTCACTCCAGTCAGAATGGTGATAATTAAAAAGTCAAGAAGTAACAGATGCTGGTGAGACTGTGGAGAAATAGGAAAGCTTTTACACTATTGGTGGGAATGTAAATGATATGGTTTGACTGTGTCCCCCCCGAATCTCAACTCGAATTGTATCTCCAAAAATCCCCAGGCATTGTGCGAGGGACTCAGGGGGAGGTAATTGAATCATGGGGGCCGGTCTTTCCCATGCTATTCTTGTGACAGTGAATAAGTCTCACCCGATCTGATGGGTTTATCAAGAGTTTCCACTTCTGCTTCTTCCTGATTTTCTCTTGCTGCCACCATGTAAGAAGTGCCTTTTCCCTCACATTATGATTCTAAGGCCTCCCCAGCCATGTGGAACTGTAAGTACAATTAAACCTCTTTTACTTCCCAGTCTCAGGTATGTCTTTATCAACAGTGTGAAAAGGGACTAATACAGTAAATTAGTTTAACCATTGTGGAATACAATGTGGCAATTCCTCAAGGACCTAGAACCAGAAATACCATTTGTCCCAGCAACCCTGTTACTGTATATATACCCAAAGGAATATAAATTATTCTATGAAGATACATGCAAACATATGTTTGCTGCAGCACCGTTTACGATAGCAAAGACACGGAACCAACCCAAATTCCCACCAATAACAGACTGGATAATAGAAAATGTGATACATATACACCATGGAATACTGTGCAGCCATAAAAAGGAATGATATGATGTCTTTTGCAGTGGCATGGATGATGCTGGAAGCCATCATCCTCAGCAAAGTAACACAGGTACAGAAAACAAAACACCTCATGTTCTCATAAGTGGGAGTTGAACAATGAGAACACATGGACACAGGGAGGGGAACAGCACTTACCAGGACCTGTCAGGGTTGGGGGGCGAAGGGAAGGAGAGCACCAGGACAAACAGCTAATATATGCAGGCTTATAACTTAAATGATGAGTTGACAGGTGCAGCAAACCAACATGGCACGCATATACCTATGTAACAAACCTGCACATTCTGCATATATATCGCAGAACTTAAAGTAAAATAAAAATTAAAAAAGACATACATGTGGCCAACAAATGTGAAAAAACACTCAATACCACTGATCATGAGAGAGGCAAATCAAAACTACCTGTGATAGCGTTGCATCCTAGTCAAAATGGTTATTAAAAAGTTAAAATACAACAGATGCTGGTGAGGTTGCAGAGAAAAGGAACACCTTTACACTGCTAGTGGAAGTGTAAATTAGTCCAACCACTGCGGAAGACAGTGTGACAATTCCTCAAAGATCTAGAAACAGAAATACCATGTGACGCAGCAATCTCATTACTGGGTATATACCCACAGGAATATAAATCATTTATAAGGATACCTGGACATGTATGTTAATTGCAGCACTATTTACAATAGCAAAGACATGGAATCAATCTAAATGTTCATCAGTGATACACCGGATGAGGAAAATGTGGTACATACACACCATGGAATACTATGCAGCTATAAAAAGAATGAGATCATGTCCTTTGCAGGGACATGGATGCAGTTGGAAGTCATTGTCCCCAGCAAACTAACACAGGAACAGAAAAACAAACACTGCACATTCTCACCTATAAGTGGGAGGTGAATGATGAGAACACATGGAAAGATGGGGTGGGGGAAAACACATACTGGGTCCTGTCAGGGTTTTGGGGGCAGGGAGAGCATCAGGAAGAATAGCTAATTGATGCTGTCTTAATACCTAGGTGAGGGGATGATCAGTGCAGCAAACCCACATGCCACACATTTACCTATGTATCAAACCCACACATTCTGCACATGTACCCCTGAACTTAAAAGTTGAAGGAAAAAAATGAAAAAAAGAAAATATGCCATATAAACAATGGAATACTATTCAGCAGTAAAAGATATAGAAATCATGCCATTTGCAGCAACACAGATGGAATTGGAAGCCATTAACTTAAGTGAAATAATTCAGAAACATAAAGTCCAATATCAAATGTTCTACTTATAAGTGGAAGCGAAGAAAAGTGTACACATGGACATAGAGAGTGGACTGATAGACATTGGAGACTCAGAAGGGTGGAAGAGTAGAAGAAAGTTAAAGGATGAGAAATTACTTAATGGGTACAATGTACATTATTTGGGTGATGGCTACTCTGAAAGCCCAGACTTCACCACTAGGCAATCTATGCATTGTACAAAACTGTACTTGTACACCTCATATTTATACGAATGAAAAATGGGATATTGTTTTCACCTCTAATGAAAAAAAGAATGAAAACAAAGCAAAACAAAAGGAAATGAGTAGAAGAAGTAAGAAAAATATCGAGAGATTTGGTTTTCCCTACATATAGGGTGGGGATAAGCTATTTTAATAGAACTAAATATTAAATATCACCATTAATATTCACTTAATAGAAATTTATGTGTGTTTAGCATTGAATATTAAAGGGAATAGCCCATATGAATTGTGAATACCAAGGCAACTGAAATTTGGGGTATCAATATTACAAAGTAGCAAGAGAGACTCATAGTGTGTAGTTTGAAAACTTCCATAAAGGTAATGTAATACTAAGGAATGAATTTCAGTTGTGTTTGAATATTGGCAGCATAGTTGGGCTAACTATCCAAGGTGAGCAGTTCCAAATTGCAAATTATTAGTTCTGAGGGACAACAGCCAGTTAGGTCAAGCAAAGCATTCCTGAGTATACTCCCAGCACTTTGATGTGTAGCTCTTTGATATTTAGTTGTCTATCTATTCTTCCCAACTGAATACTGAACAAAGTTGAGGTTTCTATTTTCTTCATATATTTGCCCATTGCCAGATACAGAGTAGATACTAAAATATAAATTTCTATTGAGTCATGGCAACATTTTTGATTATAGACTGGGCAGCCTGTGGAAGGGGACATATCCATGTAGGGAACTGTTTTATTCTTTTGACTATAGCTTGAGTGGATCTGTCATTGTAAGAATTTACATTTTTGAGTGGAAGGGAAAGAGATCTCTGAATTTTGAGAGTGGAAAACCACTAGCCTGTTTATTGGTGCTTACATTAAAACTGACATTTATCTTAAGAGTTTGAAAATTATTTTAATGGGTATCAGAATATTATTTTAACCATTAAGGAAATACTCTGTAGTGATTTAAGTCAGGAAAGAAATCCATACTCTAAAGCAATAATAATTTCACTTAAAGTTCACTGATAACTTACACGGACGAGATGCTCGTGGAGAGATGTGAAGCTAAAAATGATACGATCCAAACCTTCAAAATTCTCACAAAGCAGTGGCAGGAATATATATGTAAGTGAATCCTCATGAAAATATGGGATAAGTTTAATAACATACAACCCAAGAGCAGTAGATGCATGAAGGAAACAATATCTATATGCTAGAATAATTATATTGAATTATAATTTTATTGCATCATAAATATACTTTTCATGTGTATACTTTTTACCAGTAAGGGCAATCAGGTAAACAATTTAAAGGCATCTTTTTCTTCTAGCAATGCACTGTCCACATGTATTATGCTTATAACTAGGCTCATAAAATCATTACTGATCAAACGTTTTATATAAACGTGTAACATTATATAAAACGTTTGGAAATAGAAAATTATTTTTATAATACATTTTTGGATGTTCTTTTAGAAATTCTAGAGTTAGCTAAATAACTACTTAATATTGTAAAGCATTTCATGTAATTTAACATTCTGCATTTTGCTGTGGTGATTCATTTGAAATTTTACCGTTTAGTCATGATCAGGTTACCTTGGATACCTAAAATTAATTGAAAAGTGTGTCACTTTATTATTGCCATTTTACTGAAGGTTCTTTTTTCTCTTCATTTGTGCTGCAGTTTGAAATAGAACACAATGACTTATAAATTACTTGCAAAGGAACCCTAGGATTTCCTGGCCTTTAGAGATTGTAATAGTTGCCTGGAATCTGTAATCAGAGGGGTTAAATCACAGTCCTTTTTCTTTGTTGTTAGACCATAAATGCTTTCCATTGTGTTGAATAATTTATGACCTGCTTTCATTTTGTGATGTTTATTTTTCTCTGTGAGAAATTTAGAGATGTTTGAGTATAATTTTAAGTTTCCAGATGGAATTCTGTTAATGTTTTTTTGGAAATTTAAAAAAGCTGAACTACTTAATTATGAGACACTTGGCTACTTTCTTACCTAAAATTTCACTAGCTGCCATAAACACTGACAAAATTCAATTTTATATTTAAATGAAAGTTGCTGGTAATATGCCATACTTACAATGTTTATGTTTTCCCACAAGAGAGCTCATATTCTAGTATAAAATATTTTTAAAGTTTTTTGGCAGATGTGTGTGTGTGTGTGTGTGTGTGTGTGTGTATTTTATGATGAGGAATTCAATTATCAGGCAAACCATTTAATATTACATTCTTTAAAAGTAGGAACCATTTTGGACAAAAACTGTATATGACTTCTTATCCTAAATGATTTTCAATGTTTGCTTCTTAGTCATTTAGTGAAGAAAAGAAGAAACACATAAATATCCTTTTAATGAACTCTATTATAGATAGTAACAGTAACTAGCTTTATTTATTGGATTATGAAATACTGAAGCTTTAAAAATTAAGAAGAAAAATTAGGTCACTTAAGAAGTATCTACAATAGCATGACCCCCAGTATTTTCCAAATAGACTTATAAATCCAAGATTTTTATTATATTACCACTAAGCATAATTCATCAGCAATACCTGGGAGTTTGTGAGAATGTAGAATGTCAGGTCAGATCCCAGATCTACTGGATTACAAGATACACTTGAACAATATTTCCAGGTAATCTGCATGCACATTAATGTTTGAGAAGCATTGATTTATTTGGTAGTATTACGTAAGACACCATCCCTGAAAAAGAAAGCAAAATCTATAAAGGCCAGCCTCTTATGTATTACATATACATACTTGTTTTTTACATTATTTATTTATACTTGTTTTACATTAAAACAATAATTTTTAAAAGTCTTAGAGAATGAAATCAATACATTTACAGGTAGATGATTTAGAGTCTTTGTCTATAATTTGAACATTTGGGTCATCTTAATATTGACATCCCTATTTTATTTTTTAATTTAAAGTATACAGTGTGATGTTTTAATATACACATATAGACTGAACTAATTAGTACAGTCAAGTGAATTAACATTTATCTTTCTGTAGTTTTTTGTGATAAGAGCACTTAATATCTGCTCTCAGCGAATTTGATGTATACAATAAAATATTATCTATAGTACCCAGGCTGTACATTAGATTGTTAGAATTTATTCTACATAAGGGAAACTTTTTACCCTTTGCCCAACATCTCCCTATTTACCTCAACCCCTTACCTCTGATAATCACCATTCTAATCTCTGCTTCTATGAATTTGACTATTTTTAGATTCCATTTACAAATGAGATCACGCCATGTTTTTCTATTGTGTCTGGCTTATTTCACTTAGCATAATGTCTTCTGGGTTCATCCATATTGCTGCAAATAGGATTTTCTTATTTTTTAAGGTTTATATAATTTCATATGTATATGAATATTATATGTATCACATTTTCTTTATACATTCATTTGTTGATAAACACATAGGTTGTTTCCATAATTTGGGTATTGTGAATAATGCTGCAATAAACATGGGAGTGCAGGTATCCTTTTGACATACTGATTTCATTTCCTTTGGCCATATACCCAGAAGTAGAATTGCTGGATCATATGGTAGTTCTGTTATTAATTTTTGAAGGAAGTGATTCTGTATTATTTTCCATAATGGCTATACCAATAAATATACTCACCAACAGTGCACAAGGGTTCCCTTTTCTCCACATCCTCACCAACACTTATCTTTTTTATATTCAATAATAACCAACCTATCACATGTGATATTCATGTGATATCTTACTGTAGTTTGATTTGCATTATCCTGATGGTTGGTGGTGTTGAGCAGCTTTTCATAAACGTATTGGCCATCTGTGTGTCTTCTTTGGATAAATGTCTATTTAAGTCTGTTGCCCATATTTAAATTGAGTTCTGTCTTCTTTTGCTATTGAGTTGTATGTGTTACTCGTATGTTTTAAATATTAACCCCTTATCAGATATATGGTTTGCAAATATTTTTCCAGTCTGTAGGTTGCCTTTACATTGTGCTTATTGTTTCATTCATTGTGCAGAAGCTTTTAAATTTGGTGTAGTTCCATGTATTTATTTTTGTTTTTGTCACCTGTGCTTTTGGTGTCATACCCCAAAAATTATCACTAAGACCAATGCCAAGGAGCTTGTTCCCTATATTTTCTTTTAGGCATTTTACAGTTCAGATCTTATATTTAAGTCTTTAATACTTTTTGAGTTGATTTTTGTGTATGGCATATGATCAGGGTCTAATTTCATTATTTTATGGTGAATGTCTAGTTTTCCCAGTACCATTTATTGAAGAGACAATCCTTTCCCCACTGTGTTCTTGGCATCTTGTTGAAAATTATTTGATTGTACATGCATGGGTTTATTTTGGGTTTGCTTTTCTGTTCCATTGGTTTATGTGTCAATTTTAACATCAATACCATGGTGTTTTGTATATTATACCTTTGTGACATCATTGGAAATCAGGCTCCAGCTTTGTTATTCTTGCTAAAGATTGCTTTGGCTATTCAGGTCTTTTGCTGTTCTACATAAATTTTAGTACTTTTTTTCTATTTTTGTGAAACATGCCATTGGAATTTTGATAAGGATTGCATTGAATCTGTAGATTGCCTGGCGTATTAGTCAGTTTTCACACTGCTGTAAAGAACTACCTGAGACTGGGTAATTTATAAATAAAAGAGGTTTAATTGACTGCAGCCTTAACAGGAAGTGAAACTGGGAGGTCTCAGGAAACTTACAATCATGGTGGAAGGCGAAGGGGAATCAAAGACCTTGTTCACATGGTGGCATGAGACAGTGTGAAGGGGGGAACTGCTGCACACTCATGCATAATGAGGTCGCAAAAGAACTCATTATCATGAGAACAGCATGGGGGACCACCCCCATAGTCCAATCACCTCCCACAGGTCCCTCCGTTGACATATGGGGATTACAATTCTAGAAGAGATTTGGGTGGGGAAACAGCCAAACCATATCATTCTGACCCTGGCCCCTCCCAAATCTCATGTCCTTCTCACATTGCAGAACACAATTATGCCTTCCTAACAGTCCCTGAAAGTCTGAACTCATTTTAGCATTATCCCAAAAATTCAAGTCCAAAGTCTCATCTGAGACAAGGCAAGTCCCTCCCATTTATGAGCCTGTAAAATAAAACACAAGTTAGTTACTTTCAAGATACAATGAGGGTACAGGCATTGGGTAAATGTTCTCATTCCATGGGGGGTAAATTGGCCAAAACAAATAGGCTGCAGGCCCCATGCAAGTCCAAAACCTGACAGGGCACTCATTAAATCTTAAAGATCCAAAATAATCTCCTTTGAATCCATGTCTCACATCCAGGGCACGCTGATGCAAGAAGCAGTCTCCCAAGGCATTGGGCAGCTCCACCCCTGTGGCTCTGTAGGTTACAGCCCCATGGCAGCTTTCATGGGCTGGCATTGAATGCCTGCAGCTTTTCCAGGCACATGGTGCAAGCTGTGGGTGGATCTATTATTCTGGGGTCTAGAGGATGGTGGTCCTTTTTTCACAGCTCCACTAGGCAGTGCCCCAGTGAATACTCTGTGTGGGAGCTCCAACTCCACATTTCCCTTCCACACTGTCCTAGCACAGGTTCTCCATGAGGGCTCCGCCCCTGCAGCAAACTTCTGCCTGGACATCCAGATGTTTTCATACATCCTATGAAATCTAGGTGGAGGCTCCCAAAGCTCAACTTTTGTATTTTGGGCACCTGGAGGTACAACACCACTGGAAACTGCCAAGGTTTTGGGCTTGTTCCCTCTGGAGCAACTGCATGTGCTGTAACTTGGGCCCTTTTAGCAATGGCTGCAGCTGGAGTGGCTGGGATGCAAGGCATCATGTTCTGAGGCTGCACAGAGTAGTGGGGCACTGGGTCCTGCCCACGAAACCTTTATCCCCTCCTAGGCCTCTCAGCCTGTGATGAGAGGGGTGCCTCCAAGTTTTCTGACATGCCCTGAAGACATTTTCCCCATTGTCTTGGTGATTAACATTTCGCTCCTCATTACTTAGACTAATTTCTGTAGCCAGCTTGAATTTTCCCCAGACAATGGGATTTTCCTTTCTACCACATGGTCAGGCTGCAAATTTTCCAAAGTTTTATGCTCTGCTTCTCTTTGAAACTAAAGTTCCAATTTCAGGCCATCTCTTTGTGAAAGCATATAACTGTAGGCTTTCAGAAAAAGCCAGGTCAAATCTCAAATGCTTTGCTGCTTAGAAATTTCTTCTGCCAGATACCCCAAATCATCTCTCTCAAGTTCAAAATTCCACAGATATCTTGGGCAGGGGCAAAATGCTGCCAGTCTCTTTGCTAAAGCAGAACAAGAGTTACCTTTGCTCCAGTTAAGAAGTTCCTCATCTCCATCTGAGATCATCTCAGCCTGGACTTAATTGTCCATCACTATCAGCATTTTGGTCAAAACCATTAAATCTCTAGGAAGTTCCAAACTTTCCCACATCTTCCTGTCTTTTTCTAAGCCCTCCAACCTATTCCAACCTCTGCCTGTTTCCTAGTTCCAAAGTTGCTTCCACATTTTCAGGTATCTTTATAGTAGTGTCCCACTTCTCTTGGTACCGATTTTCTGGATTAGTCAATTTTTACACTGCTATAAAGAACCACCTGAAACTGGGTAATTTAAAAAGAAATGAGGTTTAATTGACTCACAGTTATGCATGGCTGGCAAGGCCTCAGGAAACTTAAAATAATGGTGGAAGGTGAAGGGGAAAAAAGGCATGTTTTACATGGTGGCAGGAGAGAGAGTCAGGGTGAAATTGCTGTACACTTTTAAACCATTAGATCTTGTAGAACTCACTCACTATTGTGAGAAAAGCATGGGGGGAAGTGCCCTCATGATCCATTCACCTGCCACCAGGTTCCTCCCTCAACATATGGGGATTACAATTTGAGATGAGATTTGGGTGGGGAAACAGAGCCAAAACATATCATCTGGATATTTTGGATATTTTAACAATATTAGTTATGGCATTGACATCTCTTGATTGTCATTTTTCTCAAGAATTGGTCATATTGTCTTGGATCTTTGTATGTGCAATACATTTTAATTACATTTTAAATATTTTGCTGTGAGACTCTGGGTTGTGTTAATAAAAATCCTTTGGAGGATGTGTGTGTGGGTATGTTGTATTTTATCAGATAATCCACCTGGTCAGGTTTAGTATGTAAATTCTGTTTAATCTTCTGTGGCCAGTGGTTCCAATATAGTTTTCAAAGACTTTGTTATTTTGTTTGGGTCTATCCTGGAACTCAGGGTTTAGGGTGAGACTTGGGCATTGTTTTATACTATAGATTATTGTAAAAATATTTTTTATGCTAATTTGCATCTGTTTTGCATATACAGTATGAGGGTGAGCCCAGAACTTGAGCCAGTTCACAGATAAAAGTAGGGAATCCTCTTCTCCAGTTCTTCCTTCCGAGGAGTTTCTCTGTGGGTACATTGCTCCTGTCCTCTGGCTAAAAAGCTGAAATTTCACTCAGAATTTTAGTTTCCTATACTTTCCTGTAGTTTCGTATGGCTTTAACCTTCAGGAAAAAATTGCAAGAAAAAAGAAAAATGTAGGAGGAATCCCCCCTACTCCTTTAGAACACAGGGCCTCTTGGTTCCTCTGGCCAAAAATGAACTTGGATTTTGTTGTTATTGCTGTTTTGGGTGTTCATGTTGTTCCAACAGCAGTGCAGCTTTGTGAGTAGGTAAGGCTTCCAACAGAGCTGGCAGAAAGAAGAATACAAAACAAACAAAAACACGTGGTAAATTATCCCTACCCTTTTGTCCACAGAGGGCCTATTTCCCAAAGAAGAATTTATTTCAGAATTTTTATAATTTGTACCTGCTGTGCAGTTTTGTATCCTATGCAGCCCTCCAAAAGATAAAGAGCAGAGAGAAAAAACAAAAACAATACTGTAACCTCACCTCCATAATGGTTGTTCTTTAAGTTTTGACTTACTTTTCAATTCTTTTGCTATTGCTGACTTTTCAGAGCCCTCATGTAGTTGCTTTCCATATCTTGCCTAGATATCTTAGTTGTAATCATGGGAGGAGATAAGATTCAGTGGGCTTACTTCATCTTGACAGAAATCAGAAGTCTGTGGGAATGTTTAAAATTTTTGAGTAATTTTCTTAATACATATAAGGGAATATATATTTTCTATTTCTGTAATTTTGTTGGTAGTTATTCCAGTGTTTTTGAACTTCCAAAATTTTTGTTGGGATGTCAGTTGTAAGACTTTTTATTGTTCTTTTTTAAAAAAATGTGTCTTTTTTACTTGGTGCTTTTAAGATTTTCTCATTGGCTGGACGTGGTGGCTCATGCCTGTAATCTCAGCACTTTGGGAGGCCAAGGCAGGTGAATCACTTGAGGTTAGGAGTTCCAGACCAGCCTGGCTAACATGGAGAAACCCAGTCTCTACTACAGAAACATATAAAATTACCTGGGTGTGGTGACACGTACCTGTAATACTAGCTATTTGGGAGGCTGAGGCAGTTGAATCACTTGAACCTGGGAGGTGGAGGTTGCAGTGAGCCGAGATTGCACCCCTGCAGTCCAGCCTGGGTGATAGAGTAAGACTCTGTCTCAAAGATTTTTTTCATTGTACCTTTTCCACAACAGTTCCATTGTTGTATACTATATTTTTCTTTGTTATTAAGCTGTTTGGATTACATAGTATATCTCATATCTGTGGCCCTTTTCATTTTTTATTTTTGCAAAATTCTCAGAAATTACCTCTTTAAATACAGCTTTTGGTATATACTCTTTCTGTTTCCTCTCTTTTTTCTGGATGTCAATTTCACATAGGTTAGACTATTTGCATTATCTTATATGACTTTTAAGCTCTTTCTTTTCTTTTATTTTTGTATCTGCTCTTTCTTTGAGTTTCAGACTGGATTTTTTCTAGGGACCTATCTTAAAGATTACCAGTCCTCTCTTTAATAGTGTCTCAACTGCTGGGAAACTCATTGCTTGAGTTCTAATTTTTAGCTGTTATATTTTTATGTTTAAGAATTTTGATATAATTATTTTAAGAATTATAGTTCTTTGCTAAAATTTTACATGCTCTTTTTTGAATATATTTATTGTAGTTATTTAAATGTCTAATATCTAATAACTCTAAAAACTGAATAATTTCTTGGGCCCTTCTATTTTCTTTTTCCCATTTTATCAAATGTGGTTTTATGGTAATTTTTAAATACCAGCCACATGTATAAAAATTGTAAATGATCTGGATGATGCTATCTGTTCCTATAGATTATTTCCTTTGGAATTTTGATAGCTAAGAAATGGATCACCATACTATATCTAGAATTGAATTGATTTAATCTTGACTTTTCTGTATTTGTAGGTTCTGGTATAGGTATGTTTCTGATTTACAAATACTATAGGGTGTTTTCCTTAGAAATTTCTTTCTTTTTTTTTTTTTTTTTTTTGAGACGGAGTTTTGCTCTGTCACCCAGGCTGGAGTGCAGTGGTGCAGTCTTGGCTCATTGCAACCTCCACCCACTGGGCTCAAGCAATTCTCCCACCTCAGCCTCTCCAGTAGCTGGGATTATAGGTGCCTGCCACCACATCCAGCCAATTTCTGTATTTTTAGTAGACACAGGGTTCTCTATTTTCAGTAGAGACGGGGTTTCACCATGTTGGCCAGGCTGGTCTCAAACTCCTGACCTCAGGTGATCCACCCACCTTGGCCTCCCAAAGTGCTAGGATTAGAGGCGTGAGTCACCACGCCCGGTCTTCCTTAGTAATTTCTAACTTGAAACTGGAGTATTTACTTATATCATCTCTCCTCGTTAGGCTCTGACTGCTAATACTTTTCGTTCCCAACCTACAGCACTGCCTATAGCTCTGCTTTTTTTTCAGCTTCTCAATTTCTGCTCTTGCAGTGAGAAGAAAAATAATATGAAACGTTATTCTTTCAGTGAGTTTCCGTTTTCTTTTTATCTGGGTTCTTCAGATGCTGACTGTCATCATAGCTTCCTAATGTCTTCAAAGAGATAATTTTATATTGTATCCACCTCTCTTTTTTCTTTGTGTGAGAATTGGTCTACCATGAATTAGTCTGTCTCTTCTAGATACAGAAATTTTAGACAGGATTTTGTTCTTATACTTCTATTCTTATGTATTGCTCTATAATAAACACATTGGTGTGAACATACATATAATGGCAGATTTATATCTATGGATATGTATGTGTATGCATCATTGACATATTTTATGTTCTGATGCCAAATTGGTTATCTTATCTTTAACTTTTTGTATATACTTTACATTTCATGAATCTAAGGCAATCAATGTCAAAACACTTGTCCTTTTAGCAGTTCTCCCTTAGTGGTCTCACAGTCACATTTTTCCACATGAGCTTGGCAATAGGCTTAAAGACACATAGGCTTTAGGTCACAATGGAGAAACTAATGCTCCAAAACTGTTGACATGAGAGATACTATTCACCAAAAGTACTTTGATTTTCCCTAGTGAAAATACCCAATATTTTTCACTTTAAATGATTCTGTAAGTGCTAGTTTTTTTTTATTTCTTAGACCTCTTCTTTGCTCATCACTTTCTGGTGATTGATGTGTAATAAATAAGGACTTGCCTCTATAACATTCCATAGTTATTTCTCGAGCTAAATATTTTAGGCCGAAAAAAATGTGTTGGGGCTGGGTGTGGTGGCTCATGCCTGTAATCCCAGCACTTTGGAAGGCTGAGTCAGGTGGATCACCTGAGGTCGGGAGTTTGAGACCAGCCTGACCAACATGGAGAAACCCCGTTTCTACTAAAAATATAAAATTAGCCAGGTGTGGTGGTGCATGCCTGTAATCCCAGCCTCTTGGGAGGCTGAGGCAGGAGAATCGCTTGAACCCGGGAGGTGGAGGTTGTGTTGAGCCGAGATGGTGCCATTGCACTCCAGCCTGGGCAACAAGAGCAAACTCCATCTCTCTCTCTCTCTTTCTCTCTCTCTCTCACACACACACACACACACACACACACACACACACACACACACACACAAAGTGTTGGGGCATCCATTCTGCACCTTTTCAATTTTGACCTTCCTGGCCCTGCACTGTACTGCAGTTACCAAACATTCTGGCATTCTATTTTATTTGTAATTTAATCAATCACAAACTCCATGTGACACCCAAGTCAGACATGAATTGTGCCCAGGAAAATGCCACATAGCTGGACATCATTGCATTTAGTCAGATGTTCTTTAAGAATTTAATTCAATCATTTTTCCCCCAAAATTTTGATGTTAGGAGACATGGGGAATAAAGAGTCACACCCATGTTATAGAATAAAGCAATGGTGTATCATTGGTCCTATTATAATTTCAACAGATTCTCCCAAATTTTGTTTACATTAGATAAAATTGAATTGGAGAAATGAACATGATGGTAGTGTAGTGTTTGAGCACTATGCATCATATACTGGAAAAAAGGCATTAGGTATTTTTTGAAAGCATACCAAATATAAAAAATGAGTAACAACTTCTTTAAACATATTTGTCACAGTAACTTTTTTAATATGTGTATCCTTTATGGGTATTTTCTCCAATGGTTATTTTTGATTTTATGTCTCCTACTCATAGCTGTGTCACTGTTAGTTGGAATCAGCACATAAATTTAGTGTAAATTTGTGCTTGTGTTGACAGAATACGTCTGTTATCAAAGTTTATGTTGTTAGGGAAATGCCACTTTTCTCACTGTTGAGAATTACACATAATGGATCTACATGCTACGTTTTTTTTGAGGGTCACTGTGGAGAAAATATGTTTAGTGACATTTATTGTAGCAATAAAAAATTTCAAAGGGATGTACAAATTTTGTCTCAACTAGACTGGTTTAAGTATTGAAGAATCACTAGAAAGAGGAAAGAAAGTCTTTAGTAGAAGAAGGGTATTCCAGGAAAGTAGTGGAGGAAATTTTGTAGGACAGAATTATGTTATCAATCATTGATCTTCTGGCAAGACCCATCTTTCAGTTTGATCTGTGCACGAAGGGGAGAGAGGAACTGTAATTAGACACTGAAAGAATGGTTGGTATGTATAATCCTTGTGAAAATTACAAGTGCAAGAGTGCATTTTGTGAAAGTGTGAAAGTTAAGGTGTTGTGACTAAAAGAGAATTCTAGAAGAAATTCTCAAGTCTTCAGGCAGCTTCCATGACATGAGATTTGGTCACATACATCGAGAGAGCAGCATCTATGGTGGAAAATAGTGCAATAGTAAAGAATGCCTTCATTTAATTTCAAGGGAATGAGATACCAATACCAAGAGAATGAGGCTGGAACAAAAATGAGGAAAAATAGTAGACCACTTGTGGTTTCTGGCTACTACAGTCTTGAACTCATTACCTTGTAGATTGTTTCTAGCTAGAACAATTTCAGCTGCAAGTGTAAAAACTATATTTGAATCAGTTCAAGGAAAAGTAGAAAAGTTACTGGCTCACACAAGTGCAGGAAGGCAGGGTGTGTTTGGTTTCAAGGGAACTCTGAAGAGACCTCTGTATCCAGGAACTGAAAAAATTCCTGCTTTTCTACCCCTCTACACCCTTCTTCACACTTGTCCCTACTCTCGTATATTTACTATGATTGTTTTACATTTGGAAAATAATCTGCGAATGTTTTCTTAGATTTAATGTGCATGTGCACACATACACACACTGCTTGTCCTTAGAAATCCCACTTTTGTGAAGCTATGCTATAGAAATAAATCAGTAGATAATAAAGAATAGAAGTATTCTTTAGATAGATAGGTAGATAGTGCATTATAAGATGAAAGTATGTGTATGCATGCTTTCAGATGCCTAAAAACGTCCCAGAAAGATATATGTAAAACTGTTAATAGAGCTACTCTGGGAAAGCAATGACTTGGCATGGGCAAGAGGAGTATGTTCCTTTTTTTTAATGCTGTATAGTCCTGCTTTGCTTATTGTATTAAAAAGTATTTTTTCTATCTTCTTGTGTAATTTTAAATTGTAGCCTTTTAAAAATGTGTAATGAAATTTTGAAATTCCTCATGTAAAAAAAAAGAAATTCTTTGTGTAATTTAAAATTGTATAAAAGATCCAACCGAAAACATAAGAAAAGTAGTTTAAGATTGGAGCAGAATTTGTAATTCAAAAATCTCATTGCATGAACATTTTTAGGTCAGTTTTTCACCAAATACATACAGTAAAAATGTCGATGTGTATTAAATAGCCTCACTGGTTGTCATGGTGACATTATCTAATTTGTTTCCCATTTTCTGTTTAATCACTAATGCTACAGGAGACTTGCCTATAGCTTGTTTGGCCTCTGGAAAGTGACTGACAAATTCATGGAGAGACAAACATATACACAAATAAAATATGACTGCTACTCCCTATTTTCTCTTCTTCCTTTTAGTCATTTTTGAAGCACTAGCTCGGTTCACAACTGACCGAAACATCAATAGCTTCCAAAAGTCTACTTTAGCATATCTTTTTAAAGTGGGAAGCATACCATCTGGGCATTAGATAAGTTCGTTTCTAGTCACAGCTCTTACACTTACACAGTGCCTATTATTTTATCATTTACCTGGAACTTGACAGTCTACAAACTACTTTCAAGTAAACTATTATATTTGATCCTCATAAAAGCTCTGAGATTCATGGTACTATCACCCCCATTTTAAAGATAAGAGATCTCAAACAAGAAAGGTTAAATTACTTGCCCAAGGTAAGAGCAATTTATAATTGGAATTGCGAGAGAAATGACACAAACTTAAGTTTGTAGACTTCAAGCCCAAAGCTTGTTTCAAGATGCTATTGCCTAGTAGACCATGCCTTTTACAAACAACACTTAATATAACATATTAAAAAGTAATAGGGTGAGGCCGGGCGCGGTGGCTCATGCCTGTAATCCCAGCACTTTGGGAGGCTGAGGTGGGCAGATCACCTGAGGTCAGGAGTTCAAGATGAGCCTGGCCGTCATGGTGAAACCATGTCTCTACTAAAAAATACAAAAAGTTAGCTGGGTGTGATGGTGGGTACCTGTAATCTCCTACTCGGGAGGCTGAGGCAAGGAGAATTGCTTGAACCCAGAGTGTGGAGGTTGCAGTGAGCCGAGATTGTACCACTGCACTCCAGCCTGGGTAACAGAGCAAGATTCCATCTCAAAAAAAAAAAAAAAAGTAATAGGGTGGATATGTACAATATTAATAGAGATACTAAATAAGACACAGATATAGATCAAGATAGCATTCAAGATAAGTGTATCAAAAAGTGCAGAGAATAGTAGGGCACTGAAAGCACAAGTCCTGTGCTAACTTTCTTTCTTTCCTTTCCTTTTTTTCTTTCTTCTCTATTCTATTTTTTCAGATGAAGTCTCCCTCTGTCACCCAGGCTGGAGTGCAACGGCGCCATCTCGGCTCACTGCAACCTCCACCTCCTGGGTTCAAGCGATTCTCCTGCCTCAGCCTCCCAAGTAGCTGGGACTACAGGCGCCTGCCACCATGCCCAGCTAATTTTTGTATTTTTAGTAGAGATGGGGTTTCACCATGTTGGCCAGGCTTTGCTTTGCTTTGCTTTTCTATTTTCTCTTTTCTTTTCTTTCTTTTCCTCCCTTCCTTCTTCTTTTCCTTTCCTTCCCCTTTCCTTCCCTTTCCCTTTCCCTTTTCCCTTTCCCTTTTTTCCTTTCCTTTACTTTCCTTTCTTTCTCTTTTCCTTCTTTCTCCTTCCTTCCTCCCTCCCTGCCTCCCTTCCCTTTTTCTTCGCTTCCCTTCCCTTTGCTTCTTTCCTTTCTCGCTCTCTCTCTCTCTTAATAAATATCAGTATTTGAATAAAGAGAAGTTCTTTATTCAGGAATAGAAGGCTGTTTTCTTAACTTGAGAATATCTAAAACCACAAGCTATGATTGCATTTAAAATTAAACAGTGAAACCATTCTCATTAAACTCTCATAGGAAACAAGTGTTTCTGCTATTGCTAATGTTGTCTAACATTGCCCTGGAAGCTCTTGACCAGTGATTCTTAATTTCCTTGACCAGGGATTCTCAGTTTTCTGGCATTGCGCACTCTAATCATATAGAACTTTTACAAATACAGTTATGCACTGCATAACAATGTTTTGGGCAACAAACCACATACAGGATAGAGCTGAAAAACTTTGATTACCTAGTGATGTTGTAGCCATGCTAACATCATAGTACAGTGCATTACTCATGTAATGATAAATTCATAAGTTGTCAGTAAAGTTGCAGGATACAAAATCAACATAGAAAATTAACAGTGTTTCTATGTACTAATAATTACTGGAAAAGAAAATTAAGAAAACAATCCCATTTAAAAAACAATAAAAAACTCAATACTCAGGTGTAAGTTTAACCAAGGTGCTAAAAGACTTGTTTACTGAAAACTATAAAACACTGATGAAAGAAATTGAAAACACAAATAAATGGAAAGATACCATTATTTTCCATAATAATGGTAGTAAAAATGTCCATACTACCCAGCGTGATCTACAGATTTAATGCGATCCCTATCAAAATTTAAAAGTATTTTTCAAAGAAATAGAAAAAACTCCTAAAATTTGTATAAAAGAGAAAAAGACGTTAAATAGTCAAAGGAATCTTGAGCAAAAGAATAAACCTGGAGGCATCACAATACCTGACATCAAATATTCTACAAAACATAAAAACACAGACATAGACCAATGGAAGAGACTATAGGGCCAAGAAATAAATTCATGTATTAATGATCAATTGGTTTTCAACAAAGAACTCATAATGGGGAGAGGGCAGTTTCTTCAATAAATAGTGTTGAGACAACTGGATATCTACATGTAGAAGAAGGAAATTTAGACACTTGTCTCACTTTATATACAAAAATCAACTCAAAATGGACTAAAGACTTAAACATAATATCTGAAGTTGTAAAAGGACCAGAAGAAAACTTAGAAGAAAAGCTCTGTGACATTTGGGCACTGATTTTTTTGAATGTGAACCCAAAGCACAGGCAACAAAAGCAAAAATAGACAAATGGTAGAGCATCAAACCGAAAAGCTTCTGCAGAGCAAATAAGACAACTGACAAAGTGAAGTGATAACTCACAGCATAGAAGATATTTGCAAACCATGTATCTGACATGGGGTTAAGATCCAAAATATATAAATAACTCAAACAACTCAATAGTCAGAAAACAACTTGATTAAAACATGGGCAAAAGACCTAAACAGTAATTTCTTCAAAGAAGACATACAAATGGCCAATGCATATGTGAAAAGATGCTTAGCATAACTAATTAGGGAAATGTAAATTAAACCACAATGACATGTAACCTCAGAGGCTTTTATCAAAAAGATTAAAGATAAGTATTGGAGAGGATGTAGAGAAAAGCGAACTCTTACATACTATAGACGAGAATGTGAATTAGTACAGACGTTATGGAAAACACCATAGAGGCTTCTCAAAAAACTAAAAATAGAACTACCATGCAACTCATTTGTCATACTTCTAGGGATATGTCAAAAGGAACTGAAATTAATATGTAGAAGGGATATTTGCATTTCCATGTTAATTGCAGCAGCATTCACAATAGCCAAATTATGGAAACAAACTAGGTGTCCATCAACGGATAAAACAAAGATATATAAAACAACGGTATATATACACAATGGAATAATATTCAGCCTTAAAAAAATAGGAAAATCCTGTCATTTGCAACAATATGGATAAATCTGGAGGATATTATGCTAAATAAAATAAGCCATGCACAGAAAGAAATACCACATGATCTCACTTATATGTGAAATGTAAAAAAGCTGAACTCACAGAAATAGAGATTAAAATGATGGTTACAAAGGGCTGGGAGAGTGGAAGGGAAGGGAACCTGCAGTTGCTGATCAAAGAGGACGAAGTTTCAGATACATGAACAATAAGTTTTGAGATCTGTTACTTAGCAGGGTGGCTATAGTCAATAATAATGTACAGTCCACCCTTCCCCTTCAGATATGTGGGTTCTGCATTCCTGGATTCAACCAACTGAGGATCAAACATATTCAGAAAAAAAATTGCATCTGTATTAAATATGTACAGACTTTTTTCTTGTCATTTCCTAAATGATACAATATAACAATTATTTACATAGAATTTACATTGTATTAGGTATTATAAGTAATATAGAGATGATTTAAAGTATATGGTAGGATGTGCATAAGTTGCATGCAAATACTATACCATTTTACATTCTGGACTTGAGCATTTGTAAATTTTGATATCTCTGAGAGGTTCTAGAACCAATCTCCCAAGGATATGGAGGGACAACTGTATTATATATTTCAAAATAACTAAGAGGGTAAATTTCGAATGTCTCACCATAATAAAATGATAGATAAGTGAGGTGATATGTTGAAAGCTTGGTGTAATCATGTCAATTTATACACATATATGAAATCTCATTGTACTTTATAAATCTATAGGATTATGATTTTTCAATCAAAATGGTAATAAATTTTTAAAAGTATCATAGGAGTACAGTGTTAGACTACCAGAAATATACAGAATAATAAAAAAAAGACACTGGGTGAAATAATTTCAAAAATTTGTACACAATAATGCCCTTGTTGCTATTAAATAGGATTTATTTTTCAAATAGAGCCTCAATTTCTAATACAGTGGCTACCAGTAATGAAGAGAATCAATGTGATTCAAGCAGAGTTATTAAAATTAATTTAATAACATTAAAATATTAAGTTTTGAGAATAATGATTTACATAGCTTTGAAAATGGTGATTTCTAGTTTCTGAGGTTGAAGAAACTAGATGCCTCTATGATGGATATACTTTTATATTTTTTCTTTCCTGTTATGTAGTGATATTTTATTGAAATAGTAGTATATATTAGAATTCATTCATTTTGTGTATATTGCTGCTGTGTATTAATATTAAAAATGAAATAATTGCTTTTAGTGCATGCTATAGCATAAATTAGAAATCCTTCAAACTTATTATGTCTTGTATGCTTTATACCATGTTTTTCTTAACTGAAGCATTTGTTTATATGCACATTTCATAGCTACCTATATAGAAATTAACTCAAATCTTGATTTGTTTCTTACTAAAATGTGGTACTCTATTTTATTTTACAGGACCCTGAGTATGTTATGAATTTTTATGTATAAGAAAATTCTGTTTTGTTTTTATTATGGACCAATATTTACTGACATCTATATATTTGTTTTAATACACAGTCGATTCTCATTATTTGGGGAGTTATGTTCAACAAAGTCGGCTCAAACACTGAATTCATGAATACTGAAACAATGCTCCTAAGGGAAAAACACGGCTAGGTGACTGTGAGCCTTTTGTCACAACATTCTCAGCAACAGATCAATTCATAACTTTGTTGTATATGTGTTTCTGTTTAAAGATACCTGATTAATATACATTGTTGATTCAGTACCATTGAACTCATGGCCAACAGCACTGTAACTCAAGCCTGAAGGAAGCGTATCTAACACAGGTATTTTCTCAGTAAGGCACATCACAGCCTTCTTGCACTTAAGATGCTAGACAGCATTTCAGCATCATGCTTGGGGTCATTCCAAACAGTGAAATAACAAAGGAAAAGCACAAAAGTCTAAAAAGTAGGGCTCCAGATAGACTGAGAAATCTATACTTCTTTACAGAACGAGAACTGGAACAAGAAAGTAGAGCACCACTTTGTTCAAATTTAGCCGGTAACGTGCACATCCGGCAACTGAGATTTTTTGCTATTCTGTGCATGTCTGTTAAGACCAAGAAATCTACATGAATATTGATTTTAGTGTTAAAATAAATTTTAGCAAGTAGGCAAATTTGCAAATATGGAATCTGCAAATAAGGAGGATCAACTGTATTTCATTAAAGTATTTAATGAAACATTACTGCATATTCAGAACACATAAACAACAAATTCATTCTTTTTTAAAAATCGAGGTGAAATTCTCGAAACATAAAATTAATCATTTAAAATTCAGGGGCATTTAGTACATTCACAGTGTTGTGCAAACATTACCTTTATATAGACCCCAAACATTTTCATCATCACAAAATAAAGCCCTTTAAGACTTCACTTCCCATTCCTCCCTTCCACCAACCCTTAGCAACTACTAATCTGCTTTTTCTATGAATTTACCTATTCTGGATGTTTCATATACATGGAATCATGTAGTATGTGGCCTTTTGTGTCTGACTGTTTAGCATATTTTTTTGAAGTTCATCCCATCTGTAGCATGTATCAGTACTCCGTTCCTTTTCATGGCTAATACTCTTCCATTGTAACAAATCCACTCTTAACTATCAATACGTTATGATGAAATATATTCTTTTTTCAAAAAATTACTTTCCATTTATCAAAAACTCTTAGAGAGGATTCCATAAGAAAATGTGAGCTGTTTTGAACTTAATTAATAGGACCTAGAAGAATAAGACATTAGTCAGAAGATTCCAGGTAGAAAAATCCTTTTAAAGAAACATGAAGTTTTCAAAAACGGAAAAAAAATATGTTTTGTGAGCAGCAATCCTCTGGAATTCTGTCCATTTTTCTTTCTTATTGGGAATTTTTAGTTGCTTAGTATTTTTTTTCCCCCATTTTGTTCTTTGGCTGCTTGGATATGTTTTTTTTTTCCCCAGGATTTTCATACTTGATCTTCTAGCCTTACTACCTTCAATGTTTAAGTAATGTGACTTTTGAACTGTATCTGAAGCTGTACATGCTGAAATTATAAAACCAAAGGCCACATAAAAATTAAAAAGTGATTTCTAAAATTAAGGCTGTAGCATTAAATGGAATGGCAAAGATTTTTTTTTTTTTTTAAATAACAACTGTTGGGCATTATGCTCACTGTCTGGGTAATGGGATCATTCATACACCAAACTCCAATGACATGCAATTTACCCACACAACAAACCTGCACATGTACCCCACATACCTAAAATAAAAGTTGAAAAAATATTTGGAGGTCAATTTATACATAGTAAAATGTGTCTATTTAAAATATACAGGTTGATAAGCAATGACACAATTGAACAATGGTGCAAATATGTTTATGTAACCACCTCATTAATTAAGAGGCAAAACTTCCCATCACCCCAAAATGTTTCTTTGTAGCTAGCCTTACCTGTTCCCTCACCCTCAACGTAAAATAACAAATAAAAGCCAATTTAAACAAGGCCAAAATATCTGGAGAACTACAAGTTCAAAGTAGAGATAAATCATGGAGAAATGTTATGCTTTTACTCACATCTGTAAAATTAACTGTTAGGAGAAATAGGAGTTTCAGTTATTAATGGTGGTATAAAATAGATATTTCTCCTCAAAAGTTTAGTAGGTTTTGTTGAACTTTCGGTGATAATTTGAGAATATGAATCAGCCAAGTATAATCACTGAAATTGCTTGATTCAAACATATGATCTATGAAATTGAATTCCTCTGCACATACAAAGGTTAATATTAATGGATCACACATGGCTATATGTATAAATGGTGCCCTCTTCCTTACGGCACACAAAAGAAAAATAGATAAATTCCCTAACATAAGTGTGCCTCTTTGACCCATTCAAGCAATGACCTGTCTGGGGTAAAACTGATTAGTGAGGAAATAAGGAGAGGAGCCTAAAAATTTTTACCCAGTTTCATCCTCTGCATGAATAGCATAGATATTTTCCCTATTTTTTGAATCACTACCAGCACATACACATTTATCCTGATTGTTTCCCCCCACCAAGAAAAACTTTAAAAATATGTCACATTTCAAATTTTCTCGTAAGTGGTTGGTTTTTACTTGATGCAACATTGCTAAACATTTTGATGAGATTTTATAGGAATTCTCAGTGCTATAAATCAAACATTGCCTATACTTTATTTATGTCCATATATATGATATATATGGGCATATATATTATAAGCAATCAACAGACATTTCCAACAGCTGACTTTAATTGCAATATGCTACGTGTCAGCAGCATTTGGAAAAATGCATTTTATCAAAGATAACTTGTTTAAAGACATCTTGAAAATGACAAAAACCATCCATCAAATTTCAAAAGTTGTGAATGTGGGTAATATTAATGGGAACTAGTGTTGACTCCTCTTTTCCATTAATCATTCTGTGATGCTTTTAGATAATTATTTGACATGAGGAGCGTGAAAGAGATTTGGAGGACAGGTAATTGACAATGGTTATGAAGAGATCAAAACCAAACAAAAAATCTATCTATGTGTGAGTGTTTGCACACATATACTCCTTGGTAGAACTAGGAAACAGGTTAGTTTTACAGAATTCAAAATTACTTTTATTCCACTATTTAAAGTGTAATCATGGCATGTTGAGCAGAAGGTAGTTTAGATTCCATAACAGTGTGATTTCCTTTTTATAATATCCTTGAAAATCATCATTGACTCTCTCCTTGGACTATCAACTGAAGAAGGGAGAATCAGCATGCTAAATGAACCCATTCCATTGTTGGACACTTTCAAACGTTAGAAGATTCATTAGGTTCTTCTGTCTTTTAGACTTCGTTTTGATTTTTGGAGTAGTAAGACCAGATAGTCTCTTGTTTGACATCATTTTAAATATCTGACATAATTATTACAGCTCCCTTTGGGCTTCTTTTCTGCCCAATATGGTTCCTAGTTTCTTCAGTTGTTTCTCTTAATTAAAAATCCCCATATCCTTCATCTGGAGAGAATTTCTCAGAACATATTCTACTTTGTGTCTTATAATATGGTATTCAGAATTGAAAACAATGCTCTTACATGTTGTAAACAGTTCAGAGAAGAGTGAAAGTCTTACCTACCATGATTTAAACACTACCGTTATATCCATGTAGCGTAAAAATAAAGCAGCATTGTAGCAGTCATTACACTGTTGACTCATATAAACTTATGGTCAACAAGACTTAGTTGAAGTGCCAGGAAACCAAGTAGCTTCCCTCTTTGTCTATACACTTAAAAGTTTATCCTGTTTTACACCCATTAGATGGCTACTATCTAAAGAATGGAAAACAACAAGTATAGCGAGGATGTGGAGAAATAGAAAATGTGTTATATACATTCAATGGAGTATTATCCAGCATTAAAAAGAAAGTATTCTAACACATCCTACAACATGGATGAATGAACCTTGAGGATATTATGCTAAGTGAAATAAACCAGTCACAAAAAGACAAACTCAGAGAAGAGAAAGTAGAATTGTGGTTGGCAAGGGATGGCGGGAGAAGGAAAGAAGAGTTAGTGTTTCGAGGGTATAGAGTTTTGGTTTTGCTAGATGCATAGAGATATTTTACAACTATGTGAATATATTGAACACCACAGACCTCTACACATAAAAATGACTATTTAATATTATGGTTTTTTTTACCATAGCAAAAAAGAAAAAATTATCCTGTTTCAGTATAATGTTTCAGATTGTTTAATTTCCATAGCATTTATTGTATTACATATTCCTCCAAACATTATTCTTATTTGATAAATTTTATTTCATAATAATTCATGAAAAATATTAATAGAACAGAGACAGAATATCCTGTAGCATTCCATTATAGGTATTCTGTAAGATTGAAACTAAGTAATTGATCAACAACCTTTGGGTATTTATTATTCTTTAACAAATCATGGCTCTACATATCAATGCATCTTTTGAACCCATAATTTGCCATCTACAATGATATCTTAGAAGACTTTGTAAAATATTAGCTGAAGTCAAGGCAGCTTGACTTACCAATTTAAGATAATGAAATGTTCATCAAAATCTTCTCTAAAATATACTACATCTGTTTAATCTTTTTTAAAATGACAGGAACTGAAAATAAGCTATAAGTTTAAATTGAGGGTCTAATTTTTAAAAGTTTCCATTGTTGCCTATTATCTATTGCCTATTGCTGTACCACAAATGACCCCAAAGTTTTAGAGGTTTTTAAACTAATTATTTCATTATATATACCAACTTTGGACTCTGGAATTAGAGCAGAAGTTTGCTGGTGGTCCTTCTGTTCCATGTGGCGTGGAGAGAGTTCATTCCATGAAATTTAGCTTGTCTAGAGGTCATTAAATAATAAGGTCATTAAACAAATAATGGAAGTTGGAAAAAAGGTTGGAAAGCATTGGAATAAAATATTTGCATATTTGAAAATTGCTTCCAGTGTGTAGCTTCTTCCCCAGAACAAGTAAGGTTAGCATTAAAGAATAACATTCTATCAGACAAAATGTGATTTATTCCTCTGAGATATAGGTGAGATACATTTGAAACTAAATTTTTGGTCATCTCTGGGAGATAAAAACAAATAGTAAAATATCTAAATATCTAAATACATTTTATATACTAATGATTGGTTTAAAATGACTATATAAAATACATTTTATATACTAATGATTGGTTTAAAATGACTTATTCTTTAACGTTTCTTCACAGTGACATCCATTTTGCATTGCCCTTCTATTTATTTTTCAATTTTCCATTCTGATATTTCTTTTTAGGATAAATATTAGATTGTTCAAAATCCTTATACGTAAACATAACAATATAACTCACCATAGTAAATGTAAAATTCCATAAGTAGATTGATATGATTATACATTGCAGACTGTTTTCAGCCTTTATGTAATTTTATTTTTCATACGAATTTGTATTTAACAAATAATTTGAAGCCAGTTTCAGGAAGGGTGAAGGGTTGTAAAGAACAATGTCAGATACTTAAGCTTCCTCCTTTCTTCATGCTGAGGCTGGTCCATCTTTCACTTCAGTCTATGCATTGCCACAACTCTCAGTTAAATAAAGAGCAAGATTAGAAGAGCTAATTTACTGTTTGCTTGAGAGTAGTCTAGGATGGGGAGCAGAAAATTAGATACAGCCAATTTTCATTATCAGAAAGCCTAAAACATTAAACTTACTATTGACCTAGAAGAGTTGTATACTATTAAGTAATAGGTGACTTACTTTAAAGGAAAAAAACCCTCAAAGTCCTACATAAAAGGAAATAACACATCAAACATACATTTTCTTGATCTTGCTATATTTATAAATTAGTTTCTAGGGGATTTTAAGGGTGTATATAAGATGCTCAATTTACAATAATATGTCATGTTCTAACTCTTCATTCCTAATGTTTCTTTTTCTTTAACAAACCTAGAGCTTTAACTTTTTATTTTGATGTGTTTAAAGGGCTAATTTTCTAGGAATTTAATGAAATATTACTATTGTAATAATTATTACTAATTATAAATATTGTGATAATTATTAGTAATGTAATAATACTATTGTAACTATCTGCTTAGATAAAGATGTAACTTCTTAAGGGTTAAGGAGAGTCAGAACCAAAGATCGGGTAGGTAGGTTATCTTTATAATGTTTACCTAACAGAGCAGTTGCTTATTAACAATGTCTGGTTAAAGTTACATTTTTTCCTCCCAGTCTGCAGATTTTTAGATAGCTGAAATTAAAACCTAGAGTCTTTAGAAAGTTTGACTTTTGCAGATTTTTTTTCCTGGTGAATTCACTTAGGAACCGTAGATCATCATGATAACTTAATACATAACATCTTTCTAATTTGCTAAGTCAAATCACTTGAATTCTGCAAAGCATTTGTGTCAATATAGTCAGAATGAGACTTCCCGTACACAGGGAATAATCAAAGCAGTTGCAAGTTAGTATAGCTCTCTTTAGCTCCTAAACTTTAACACTGGGGAGGTAGAATGAATTACTATTCTCCATTAGGTAGTATAGCCTTGGACTCTCTATTATACAAAAGGTTGATATAAATTCAGTAAGTTCATACTTAGCTTCCATAATCTATATTTAGTTATTAAAGAAAATATGAAATTTATAATGTAGGATGCTGATATGAAAGTTGTCATTATAATATGTTATTTTAAAAGTTATTTTTACTGTATTTATTTCATTTATTGATTGATTTTTACATTGACAAAATTGTAATTCTTATAAACATCATGATGTTTTGAAGAATATATACATTGTGGAACAGCTAAATCTAGCTAATTGACTATACGTTACTTCACATAGATATCATTTTGGTGGTGAGAATATTTAATCTACTTTCTTAGAATGTTTCAATAATGCAGTATATTGTTATTAACTGTGGTCACCATGTTGTACAAGTACTCTTGAATTTTTATAACATTTCAAGATAATATTTAAAAGAAGTCAAAGAGAATACAGAAAATGTGATGGAAGCTCTCCTTCCTAAATTCTACCTGCCAAGCCACTGGCTCATGGACAATGAGAGTGACTGCTGCATCAATATTAATGAACACTAAATATTTCCTTGATGATTTTAATACTAGCTCATTAACTGAACTTTATAATATACTGGGAAGGGCACTTGAATTTTCTTTCAGTTCTTAAATGTTGAAGTGTGAGTCTGATATTAAATACCCTTGGCACTTGTTATAAATTCCTGCTAAAATATGACTTGAAAGTTGTTTGTAAGTATAAATGCCATGTAAAATTATTTGGAGAGATTAATTCATCAAATAACCCATAAATTACTGTGGGAGATTAACACATCAAAAAAGTCTAGCAACAAAATGTGTACCTTTTCCTTGGTATCTGTATGGACATCTAGTAGAATTGTGAAATGGGCCACTTGTTTCTTAAGCACTCTGGTTTTCCCAGTCTCTGTTCATGTTTAACTCTTATTCGAATCCACATACCTTTTCTAGCCACTTGAAATTCTCTTTGCTATGTCAAAACTTGCTTTCACATAGCTCACAAACTTAGGCAGTCTCTGATTTTAATTGGAAAGAAAACCTCAAGTTAAATAAAATGAAATTAAAATCAGTAGGTAAATCAGGATTTGGAGGGGTCTTTTGTATGCTCTAAAATATTCCCATGGAGGCAATGGTCTAATCTAATTTGCTGAAAGATAAAATATCCAGAAAACACTTTATAGTGCAGTATTGTCCCAGAAAGTACAGACTCCAACTACAACATTCAAGAATCAAGGAGATAACATATAACATATATCATAAGCATAGGCTTTCTGAAGTTCTGGCTACAAATATTCTTTTACTTTATTCCCTTAAGCACACTTGATCTTACAAGAATTTCATAAGGAAGTGTGTTATAATATTAGTTTTTTATTTTGAAAGATATGTTCACTACTCATTTTGCTAAGAGATCAGTTGGCCTTGACATCAAACAGTACCCAGAGGCCAAATGGCGACCCAATCCCATTCTAATAAAGTCTTCACAAACATAATTTTATAATTACTTTTCACCTAATTAGCTATATCAAAGTAGTTGGCCATCATGATCTAACAAGCTTCTTGCTATATGACTGAATAACGTCAGCTATAGTGAAGTAGATTACAATCAGTTATCACAATTTATGCTGAATGTACTTAATTATAAAAAATTTGATCTATTCAGGTTTTGTTATAATAAATTTACAAGGTGAAAATTGAACTTTATGAATACTTGCTTAAAAAGGTAAGAAGAAGTAATACCTTTATTTTTACTTGACTTAGATTGGATGATATTCAACAGTCTTAGGCTACGTGTGTGATGTATCACAAATTATTATTTTCAATAAAACATTTGTGTGGGCCTTCTAAAATATGGGTTATATCTAAAATATTTGATATTCTTACTATAAATTAATAAGAGGTATCCTTTGGAAGATTGTTCTCATTGCAATATATATCTCATACGTGAAGGACAATATGCTGACCTTTTAAATGAAAAATTTTTTAAATTCTTGGATATATAGTATTTCACTAGAACTTTTGATTAAAATTCTCAAACAAAAGTGAGCGTAAATAAAAGAAAGTGATGTATTCTACGTATACATTTTATCAGTTAGAAGGATTGGTTTAAGACGCATCAAAGATAGATTTAGTCAGTTTAACAATAGATGATTAAGCAACAGATTCAATAAAGTCTATAAGGTAAAGCGAAGCCACTTTAGGTGAGTTGAGACATCTCTCTCTATAGTCTTAGGAGCATTTCACCTGGCTATGCATTGTTGAGTGCAAAATTACAGAAGGACTCTCAGCAAAATGTAGTGATGAATAACTCATGATTAATGACAGTTTATGCTCCTAGGTGGTCATTGGTAGGGTGAGACAAAGAATGTGGTAAAGCTCCATATTTTCCATTATTTTGGTTAATAATATACAGAATGAAAGCCCAAGATGGTATTGAAATCTTTGTGAACCTAAGATATGGACATTTTTTTTTCTACCTAGGGAATATTTGGCCATGTATAAAGATAATTTTGGTTGTCACAGATGAGGGGAATGTTACCAGCATCTAGTAGGTAGAGGCCAGGAATGCAGCTAAATATCCTATGGTGCTGGGACAGCTCCCTCACAACATAGAATTATCCAGCCCCACGTCATTAACACTGAGATTGAGAATCTCTGCTTTAGAGCTAAGAGAGCCTCTTTAGAATGAGCAGAGAAATGAAAAAAAAATGAAACTAGGTGTAAAGATGGAAGTTTTCAGGAAAATCGCCCTTTAAACTACTACATTTACAAAGTGAACCATTAGGGAGGATAGGCAGAGACAATGAATTGCTGTCAGATATTAAATAGCCACTAGCAATGGAAATTCAAAGTCAATTGGAGAGGATAGCCAGATACTAAGTAAAATCAAATTTTCCTTGAATATAAAATAATCACATACTGTAAGATAGGGAAGTTTATCATGACATCTTGTCAGGGAAAAATACAGTGCTTTGAAATTTTAATTTGAAGAGAGACCTGTTTTTGTCATAGAGTTTAGAAGCACAGCCCTTTTGCCCTCACAAAAGCCTAAGTAGAAGCATGATTTTATCTTACTATATATCTTTTTCTTTAAAAAAATTATTATACTTTAAGATCTGGGATACGTACGTAGAACATGCAAGTTTGTTACGTAGGTATACACGTGTCGTAGTGGTTTGCTGCACCCATCAACCCGTCATTTACATTAGGTATTTCTCCTAATGCTATCCCTCCCCTAGCCCTCCAACCACTGACAGGCCCTGGTGTGTGATGTTCCCCTCCCTGTGTCCATGTGTTCTCATTGTTCACCTCCCACTTATGAGTGAGAACATGTGGTGCTTGGTTTTCTGTTCTTCTGTTAGTTTGCTGAGAATGATGGTTTCCAGCTTCATTCATGTCCGTGCCAAGCACATGAACTCATCCTTTTTTATTGCTGCATAGTATTCCATGGTATATATGTGCCACATTTTCTTTATCCAGTCTATCATTGATGGGCATTTGGGTTGGTTCCAACTCTTTGCTATTGTGAACAGTGCCGCAACAAATATATGTGTGCATGTGTCTTTATAGTAGAATGATTTATAATCCTTGGGTATATACCCAGTAATGGGATTGCTGGGTCAAATGGTATTTCTAGTTCTAGATCATTGAGGAATCGCCACACTGTCTTCCACAATGGTTGAACTAATTTATACTCCCACCAACAGTGTGAAAGCATTCCTATTTCTCCACATCCTCTCCAGCATCTGTTGTTTCCTGACTTTTTAATGATTGCTATTCTAACTGGCGTGAGATGGTATATCATTGTGATTTTGATTTGCATTTCTGTAGTGACCAGTGATGATGAGCTTTTTTTCATATGTGTATTGGCTGCATAAATGTCTTTTTTTGAGATGTGTCTGTTCATATCCTTCACCCACTTTTGATGGGCTGTTTGATTTTTCATAAATTTGTTTATGTTATTTGTAGATTCTGGATATTAGCCCTTTGTCAGATAGATAGATTGCAAAGATTTTCTCCCATTCTGTAGGTTACCTGTTCACTCTGATGATAGTTTCTTTTGCTGTGCGGAAGCTCTTTAATTTGATCTCATTTGTCAATTTTGGCTTTTGTTGCCATTGCTTTTGGTGTTTTAGTCATGAAGTCTTTCCCCATGCCTATGTCCTGAATGGTATTGCCTATGTTTTCTTCTAGGATTTTTATGGTTTTAGGTCTTACGTTTAAGTCTTTAGTCCATCTTGAGTTAATTTTTGTATAAGGTGTAAGGTAGGGTTCCAGTTTCTGTTTTCTGCATATGGTTAGACACTTTTCCCAACACCATTTATTAAATAGGGAATCCTTTCCCCATTTCTTGTTTTTGTCAGGTTTGTCAAAGATCTGATGGTTGTAGATGTGTGGTATTATTTCTGAGGGCTCTGTTCTGTTCAGTTGGTGTATATCTCTGTTTTGGTACCAGTACCATGCTGTTTTGGTTACTGTAGCCTTATAGCATAGTTTGAAGTCAGGTAGCGTGATGCCTCCAGCTTTGTTCTTTTGTCTTAGGATTGTCTTGGCTCTGCAGGCTCTGTTTTGGTTCCATATGAACTTTAAAGTAGTTTTTTCTAATTCTGTGAAGAAAGTCAATGGTAGCTTGATGGGGATGGCATTGAATCTCTAAGTTACTTTGGGCAGTATGGCTATTTTCATGATATTGATTCTTCCTATCCATGAGCATGAAATGTTTTTCCATTTGTTTGTGTCCTCTGTTATTTCGTTGAGCAGTGGTTGCTAATTCTCCTTGAAGAGGTCTTTCACATCCCTTGTAAGTTGGATTCCTAGGTATTTTATTCTCTCTGTAGCAATTGTGATTGGGAGTTCACTCATTATTTGGCTCTCTGTTTGTCTATTATTGGTGTATAGGAATGCTTGTGATTTTTGCAAATTGATTTTGTATCCTGAGACTTTGCTGAAGTTGCTTATCAGCTTACGATTTTGGGCTAAGACAATGGAGTTTTCTAAATATACAATCATGTCATCTGCAAACTGGACATTTTGGTTGCTTCTAAGTTTTGTGAACTATTAATAAAGGTGCTATTAACCTTTGTGATTATATAACATGTGCAGACGTATTTTTTCAGTTAATTTTGGTAAATATCAAGGAGTATTTTTGCTGAATTTCATAGTTATAGTATGTGTAGTTTTATAAGAAACTGCCGACTTCTCGTCCAAGTAGGCTGCACCACTTTGCATTCCCACTAGCAATGAATGAGAGGTTCTATTGTTCCACATCCTCACCAGCACTTGGTATTATCTGTGTTTTGGATTTTAGCCATTCTAATAGGTATCTTGTTTTAAGTCATAATTCCTTAATGATGTATGATATTGAACATCTTTTCCATAGGCTTACTTGATATTTGTATATCTTTGCTGACTTGTATGCTCACTATTTTTAAAATTATGTTTCTTGTTTCCATAATGCTGAGTTTTAAGAGATCTTTGTATGTTTTGGGCAGTCCTTTATCATATAAGCTTTTTGAAAATATCTCCTCTCAGTCTGTGACTTGTCTTCCTATTCTCTTGACATTGTCTATTGCAAAGCAGAAGCTTTTAATTTTAATGAAGTTTATTAATTTCTTCTTTTATGGATCATTCCATTGGTGTAAATCTAAAAAGTCACCATACCCAAGAATCACCTAGGTTTTCTCCTATGTTATTTTCTAGGTATTTATGTTATATAGTTTTGCATTTCATATTCAGGTTTCTGACCCATTTTGAGTTAATTTTTGTGAAGGGTATAAGGTCTGCATCTAAATTCATTTTTTAACATGTGGATGTGTAGTTGTTCTAGCATCACTGGTTGAAAAGTGTCTTTGTTCCATTATATTGTCAAAAATCAGTATGCTCTATTGTCAGAAATCAGTTAACTAGAAAACTTCCAGTTCAAAAATGGCACTATAGAAAAGGAAGCTGACTTCACTCTCTCACATGAAAAATAAAAATCAATATACAGAACTGAGATTGTCACCAGTATTATCCCATAACTCAAATATTAGGAGGAGACAGTTCTTGGGGCCACAGAGAAATGAGAAAACCTCAAGCAGATAATAAAATAATTGCATATCTATATCTGCAATGCCCCTCATCATAATCTGTCCAGCAACAAGTATGTGAAAAATGTCCCCCCAGTCACAGTTTCTACACAGGAAAAATGAGATTTAGGTGAACAACCAGCTTTCCCACCATATTGGGATCCCTGGCAGGAGATCTGTCTCTGTCTCAACCCATAGGAAGCCTTGGGAGTACCCGAAAGGAGAAATATCCCTAAAGATAGCCAGAGATAAAGACAGGAGTTGGAATTACCATCCCTAACCCCACTCTGCTCTGTAACTCACACAAAGGAGATGCCAAGTCAGTGGCTACTCAGCAGCAGCATGCAATACAAAAAGTGTTCCATGGGGCCCCTGCACATGAACCCATTGCCAGCCTTCTCACATTACTGGAATAAGCCCTTTTGGACTTCCCCATCCAAAAGAGATGGCACTTTGATTGTTAACTACAATGGAGGCAAACCTGGGATTATGGCACCATTTAGTGCCTAAAAGAGATCTTAGTGGGAAAAAAAGGAAAGAAAATCGATGGGTAAATTACAAAAAAAAAAAAAAAAAAAGGCAAAACAAAACTCTAAGCAAAATACCCAATAAAAACCAACATAATCCAGATAAAGAAGACTGGAATAGGCATCTATTTTGTCAATGCAAATATATAGATGTATATCCACAAAAAACAACAGCAAACACAGACCCATGACCTTCATAAATGGACAAAGCAAGGAACCAGTGACTGACCCTAAGGAGACTATGGTATGTAAACTTTCTGACCAAAAATTTAAACTAGTGGTTTAAAACAAATTCAGTTATGTCCAAAAGAAAACAGAAAAGCAATTCGGAAATTTATCAGAGAAACTTAACAAAGAGATTGAAGTAAATAAAAAATGAAACAGAAATCTTTGAGCTGAGAAATATATATGCCGAACTGAAAAATTCATTAGAGTATCTCAACAGCAGAATGGAATCAGTGAGGTCACAGGCAGGCTATTGGAAAGCACACAAAGGATAAAAATAGATAAAAAGCAAAGGAATAAAGATTATCTATAAGGTATAGCAAATTTCCTCTACAGATCAAATCTGAGAATTAGTGTTCAAGAGGGCATTGAGCAATAGCAAGGGGGAGAAAGCTTATTCAAATAAACAATAAGAGAAAACATTTCAAAACTTGAGAAAGAGGTAAATCTAGATACAGGAAGGTCAGATAACACCAAACACATTTGACTCAAATAAGACTACTGCAAGGCATCAAACTCTCAAAGGTCAAGGACAAAGAGAGAATCCTGAAAGGAGCAAGAGAAAAGAAACAGAATATATATATATACGTATATACATATATATATATACGTATATATACATATATACACACACATATATATACATATATACATATATACACACATATGTATACACATATGTATATATATACGTATATATATATACACACACACATATATATATATACACACACACAGTCTCCAATTAGGATGGAAACTCACTTCTTAATGGAAAACATACAGTCCAGGAGAGCGTATGACTTTTCCAAAGTGCTGAAAGAAAAAAAGCTGCTATCCAACAATACTGTATCCAGAAAAGCTATCCTTCAAATATAAAAAGAGATAAAGTCTTTCCCAGAAAAACAAGAGCTTGAGAATTTACCACCACTGAATCTGTCTTATAAAAAAGGTTCTATCTTTCAATCTGAAAGAAAAAAACACTAATATGCAAACATAAAACAACTGAAGGTATAAAACCTACTAGTAAAAGTAAGCATGTTGACAAATTCAGAATACTCTAATCTGCAATTGTGAGGTGCAATCCACTCATAACACTATATGAAGCCCCGAAGATAAACTTATCAAAAACAATAATAGCCACAACAATCTGTTAAGAGATAGGCAATATAAAAATATGTAAATTGAAACAGCATAAAATCAAAATGTGAGGAGATGGTATTAAAATATAAAAATTTTTGTCTTTATTTGCTTCTATTCATTTCTCTGTCATTGAAGATAAGTTATTTCTTTAAAATAACTTTTTCTATCTATAAGATATTTTTGTAAGCCTTGTGGTAACCAATATACAAAAATCTGTAATCACTAAAAATAGAAAGCAATGAATTAAAACATACTACTGGAAAGAATCATTTAACCGCAAATGAAGACAGTAAGAAAGGAAGAAAGGAAGGCTCGAGTTACAAAAAAGCCAGAAAACAAGCTACAAAATGGCAGCAGTTTTTTTTTATCAATAAGAACACTGAATGTAAATGGATTCAATTCTCCAATTAAAAGGCATAGAATGGCTGAGTGCTTAAAGAAACAACACTCGGGTATATGCTGTGTACAAGAAACCTACTTCACATATGAAGACACACATAAACTTAGAGAAAAGGGATGGAAATAGATATTCCATGAAACAGAAACCAAAAAAGACCAGGAGAAACCATACTTATGTTAGATACAATAGACTACAAATCAAAGACTGTAAAAGGAGACAAAAAAGATCACTATATGATAATAAAGAGGTCAATACAGCAAGAGGATATAACAATTATAAATGTCTATGCACTCAACACTGGACCTCCCAAGCAAACATTAATAGATCTAAAAGGAGAGACAACTGCAATAAAATAATAGTAGGGGACTTGAACAGCCACTCTCAGTAATGGGAAGACCATCCAGAGAGAAAATCAATAAAGAAACATCAGAGTTAGACTACACACTAGACCAAATAGGCCTACCTAACATTTGTAGCACATTTCATCCAACTGCTGCAGAATACACATTATTTTCATCAGTACATGGTATATTATCCAGAGTAGACCATATCTTAGACCAGAAAACAAGTCTGAACAAATTCAACAAAAGAGAAGTTATATCAAGTATCTTTTCTGGCCACAATGAAGTAAAACTAGAAATCAATAACAAGAGGAACACTGGAAACTATACAAGCACAATATAATTAAATAAATAACATGCTGCTGAATGACCAATGGGTCAACAGATTGAAAATGAAAACACAAAATATTCAAATCTGTAGGATACAGCAAAAGCAGTACAAAGAGGGAAGTTTATGGTAAAAAAAAGCCTATATTAAAAAATAGAAAAACTTCAATAAACAATCTAATTATGTACTTCAAAAGACTAGAAAAGAGCATTAGCTAGAATAACTAAGAAAGAGAGAAGACCCTAAAGTCAGAAACAAAAAGGGAAACATACAGAGAATCATTAAAGATTATTATGAACAACTATACACTAACAAATCAGAAAACCTAGAAGCAATAGATAAATTCCTGGATATAGACAACTTATCAAGATTGAACCATGAAGAAACAGAAAATCTCTACAAACCAATCAATAACAGGAAACAAGTTTAAAGTTGTAACAAAAAGTCTTCTATCAAAGAAAAGCCCAGGACCTAAAAGCTTCACTCCTGAGTTCTACCAAACATTTAAAGAAGAACTAATACCATATTCTACTCAAAGCTTTCAAAGCTCTGAAGAGGAGGGAACACTTCCAAAATCATTTTACGAGACCAGCATTACCCTGATAATGAAACCAGAGTAGAACACAGCAAAAAAGAAAATGCACAGGCCAATATTATTGGTGAATACAGATGCAAAAATTCTCAAACACTAGCAAACCAAATTCAACAACACATTAAAATGATCATTTACCATGATCAAGTGGGATTCATCCCAGGGATTCAAGGATGATTCAACATATGCAAATCAATAAATATGATACTTCTCATTAACAGAACTAAGAATACAAACCATCTGATCATTTCAATAGATGTTGAGAAAGCATTCAATAAAATTCAATGTTGCTTTGTGATAACCCTCAATAAACTTGATATAGAGGAAAGATACACATACATATCAATATGATAAATGTCATATATGGCAAATCCACAGATAAAATCATACTGAATGGAGATAAATTAAAAGGCTTTCCTCTAAGATCTGAAAGAAGACAAGGATGCTCACTTTCACCACGGTTATTCAACAAAACACTGGAAGTCCTTGCCAGAAGAATTACGAAGAAATAAAAGGCATCCAAATTAAAAAAGGAGTAAGTAAAAATAGCCTTGTTTACAGATAACATGATCTTAGAACTAAAGACTCCACCAAAAGAAAACTAGTTGAATTGATAAGCAAATTCAGTAAAGTAGCAGAATACAAAATAAACATATCAAATCAATAGCACTGGTGTATACCAATAGTGCACAATATGAAAAATGAAGAAAGCAACCCCATTTACAAAAGCCACAAAGAATATAAAATTCCTAAGAATCAATTTAAGAAAAGATAGGGATGATCTATGCAGGAAAAACTGAAAAACTGGTGAAAGGAATTGAAGAGGATACACAGAAATGGAAAGGCAGTTTATGCTCATTGATTGGAAGAATTAATATTGTTAAAATGACAATACTATCAGAAGCAATTTACAGATTCAATGCAATCTATCAAAATGCCAATGCAATCTTCTCAGAAATAGAAAAAAGAATTCTAAAACTTATGTGGAATTACAAAGGATTCTACATAGCCAAAGCAAGTCTGAGCAAAAAGAACAAAGCTGGAGGCGTAACACTACCTGATTTCAAAATTTACTACAAAGCTGTAGCAATCAAAACAGCATTGTGCTGGCATAAAAGCAAACCAATGGAACAGGATAGAGAACCCAGATATAAATCCGTGTATTTACAGCCAGCTTATTTTCAACAAAGTTCCCAAGAGCTTAAACTAAGGAAAGAAATCTTCTTCAATAAATGGTGCTGGGAAAACTAGATAACCCTATGAGGAAGAGTGAAGCTAGACCCTTATCTCTTGCCATATACAAAAATAAAATCAAAATGGATTAAAGATTTAAATCTAAGAACTCAATCTATGAAACTATTTGAAGAAAACATTGGGGAAGTGCTCCAAGACATTAAGCAATTTTTTTCTGTATAAAATATCTAAAGCACAGACAACCAAATCAAAAACAGACGATTAGGATTACATCAAGCTAAAAAGTTTCTGCAGAGCAAAGGAAACAGTCAACAAAGTGAAGAAATAACCCACAGAACAGGAGAAAATGTTTGCCAACTATCAATTCATCAAGGAATTAATAACCAGAATATATGAGAAACACAACTCAATGGCAAAAAAAATGTAATTAGATTCAAAAATGAGCAAAATATCTGAATACAGCTTGCTTTTCCAAGATGGCAGAAGTTTTTTAGCGTCTCTCAGACACTTGGAAATGGCAAGATAGTACATAAAGATCAACTCTCTGATCTTTAATTCAATAGGGAAAACAGGAACTCACTAAAATTGTGAAGGAAACCTCAGATCCCTGGGAAGAGAATGCAGGCAAACCGTCCCCGTGACAGCATCGAACTGGTGTGAGTGAAGGCCCCATATGTGAGAGAGGCAGAGAGCCTCCCTCTGTGACCGACTCACCTTTCCACTGGGGATCTGAGCAACCCAGGCTGAGGAAGAGCACTTTGTCTCTTAAACTCTGGAGCTAACTTAGGGAGAGGCTTGGAGAGACTATGAGAGAAAGACCCCGGGAAAAGCTGCAGAATTTTCCCAAACCCAAGAATAAGTGCAGGATGCCATTTTGATTGCAGGCACATACAAAGTCAGCCATTCTTTGGTCACCCAGCAGTGTGATCATACAGGCATTTTAGTCTTGGGGCAGAGCTTAGAGGGCCTAATCTGAAGTGTGGTAGAGGCCTCCACAACCAGAACTGTGGAAAATACCTTAGCAGTAGGCAAAAGAATTGTGCTCTCCCCCAGCCAGACCTGGTGTAGAAGGAGAGCTGCTACAGCTTCAGTTTTTCCTAGACGATGAGACTTGCTGTAAGGTCCAGATTGGTCACCTGGAACTGGTCTGCTTGTGTCCCTGCTGGGTGCCCTAGCCTGAACCCCTGAGATTATGGTACAGTGGGGCCCTCTCTGCTCCATCCCCAGGCAGAAATTTAGGCATCTGGAACACGGGCTTGTCTGAACCAGCAGGTGAGTTGCCCTATCCTCCCTGGCATAGATTGTAGTGCCATGAAGCCCTTTTCACTTCATGCCTAGGCAGATCTCCAGGCATTTGCAGCACCTGCTCACACTGACTGGCAGCCTGAGTTGTCCCACCCTTCCTGTGCAGAGATCTTGTGCAGTCGGGCCCTCTCCGCTCTGTCCCCAAGCAGATCTCCATGCATCTGGAGCAGCCACTCACCTGGATCAGCAGCTTGAATTTTCCAACCCTTCCTACATATAGATGATGGTGCATTGCGGCTCTCTCTGCTGTAAGCCCAGGCAGAGCTCTAGGAATTGGGAGCACCCACTCTCCTGAATTAAGAATTTAGGCTGCCCCCTATTCCCATGCAGAGAACTTGAGAAAGATCTTTCAGCTCCATGCCTAGGCATACCTCTGGGTGATTGGAGGTTACCCACTGGATTCTACCTTGGTGCTGGTGCTTATGCCTGCCACTGGGGGATCTGTAGGTGAACCTTCCTGGTCTGACCCTGCCCATCTTGCCACACATCCCCCCAAGAGAGGTGGGAGCTCAGACCACTGGGAACTCCACAAATCAGACCATTAATGAGGCAACTGGGAGTATCTCCCGTTAAACAAAGATAAAGTATATACCTAGCTGTGTTGGCCACAGCTGGCTTTTACCCATAAGCACAATATACTGGCTTGTAAGTCAAACTGCACAGCCTAATATAAAGCTTGTTGACAGAAGTGCACAGGGCTATAGAAGCAAAGCCAAAAGACCCTACCCAGCATTCTCTACAGCCACACACCTGAGGAAAGGAGGAGGGAAAGAAGGAAAAAAACTCAATATTATAGGGAAATAAAGAAAAAGAAAAAATCCTACCCACATATAAATTATTATAAAAATTACAAGTGCCAACATCTCCAGATAAGAAGAGACCAGCACAAGGATTCTGGCACCATGAAAAATCTGAGTGTAGTGACATCACCAAAAGATCACACTCACTCCCCAGCAATGGGGCTTAACCAAAATGGAAACTCAGATGTGACAGAAAAAGACTTCAAAATATAGATTGCAAGGAAGCTCAATGAGATCCAAGAAAAGATTGAAAATAAACACAAAGAAATTTCTAAAGCAATCCTGGAAATGCAGGAAGAGATGAATATCTTAAAAAGTAATCTGAGCTTATGGAATTGAAAAACTGACTTAAATAATTTCAAAATACAATGGAAAGCTTTATCAATGGACTGGATCAAGTAGAAGAATTTCAGAGCTTAACGACTGTTCTTTCAAACTAAGTCAGTCAAAAGTAAAGAAAAAATAATTTAAAAAAATGAGCAAAGTCTGTAATAAATATGGGATTATCTAAAGTGACCAAACCTGTGATGAGAGAGAGGGAGAAAAAGAAAACAACCCAGAAAACATGAGGGGATAATTCAAGAAAATTTTCTCTAATCTCTCTACAGAGGTAGCCATCCAGATACAGGAATTCCAGACATCACCAGTGAAATACTATATTAAAAAAACCCACCAAGGCATAGTCAGCAGACCATCCAAGGTCAATGCCAAAGAAAAAAAATCTCAAAGGCATCTAGAGAAAAAGGTCAGATCAGGTACAAAGGGAACCCCTTAGGCTAACAGTGGACTTCTCAGCAGAAACCTTAAAAGCTAGGAAAGACTGAGGGTCCGCTTTCAGTGTTCTTAAAGAAAAGAAATTCCAACCAAGAATTTCTTATCCCATCAAACCAAGTTTCATAAGCAAAGGAGAAATAAAATATTTTCCAGATAAAAAATGCTAAGGGAATTCACTACCACTAGACAAACCTTACAATAGAACATTGAGGGAGTTCTAAACATGGAAATGAAAGAATGCTACCTGCTGCCACAAAAACACATATAAATACATACCCCGCAGACTGTATAAAGCATCTACACAATAGAAACTACTAAACAACAAACTAACCACTTCATGATAAGATCAAAACCTCATATATTGATATTAACCACTTAAATGTAAGTGGTCTAAATGCCCCCACTTGAAAGGCACAGAGTGACAAGTTAGATTACAAAAGCAAGGCCCATCTGTCTGCTGTAAGAGACCCAGCTTATACATGAAGACACTTATAAGGCAATACATAATGACAAAAGTTTCAATTCAACAAGAAGACTTAACTATTCTAAATATATATGTACACAAAATTGGAGCACCCAGATTAACAAAACAAGTACTAGTAGACCTATGAAAAGACCTAGACAGCTACACAATAATAGTGGGGGACTTCAATACCCCGCTGAAAGCATTTGACAGATCAATGAGGCAGAGAGCTAACAAAGAAATTCTGGACTTAGACTCACTTTTGAGCAAATGAATCTAATGAATGTCGACAGACTACTCCACCCATCAAATACAGAATATACATTTTTCTCATCTGCACTTAGAATGTACTCAAATATTGACCACATGCAAGGCCATACAGCAAGCCTCAATAAATTCAAAGTAATGAAAATTATACTAACCATTCTCTCAAACCACAGTGGAATAAAAAATAGAAATCAATACCAAGACAATCTCTCAAAAACACACAATTATATGGAAATTAAACAACTTGCTCCTGAATGACTTTTGGGTAAACAATGAAATTAAGCAATAAAAAATTTTTAACTAAATTAAAACAAAGACACAACATACCACAATCTCTGGGATGCAAAAAAAAAAAAAAAAAAAGAAAGAAAAGAAAAAAAAAAAACAGCGTTAAGGGAACATTTATAGAGCTAAAAGCCTATTTGAAAAGTTATAGAGATCTAAAATTAATGATATCCATCTAGAGGAACTAGATTTCTAAATTTTGGGATTAATTCTGAAATTAAATTAGTAATAAAACCTACCAACCAAAAAAAGCCCAGGCAAGATAGATTCACAGCCAAATTCTACCACATGTAACAAGAAACCTAGTACCAATCCTACTGAAACTATTCAAAATATCCAAGGAGGAGGGACTCCATCATAACTAATTCTATGAAACCAACATCACCCTGATAACAAAACCTGGCAAAGAAGCAATGAAAAAAAGAACTGTAGGCCAATATCCCTGATGAACACAAATGCAAAAATTCCCAACAATATACTAGCAAAATAGATCCAGCAGCACATTAAAAAGTTATTTTATCCTGACCAACTAATCTTCATCCCTTGGATGCAAGATTGGTTCAACATACCCCAATTAATAAATGTGATTCACTACATAAACAGAATTTTAAAACCATATGCTCACAATTATGTGGAAAAAGCTTTGGATAAAATCCAATATCCCTTCATGAAAAAAACTCTCAAGAAACGAGACATCAAAGGAATGTAACTCAAAAATAAAAGTCACCTATGACAAACCCACAGCCAACATCATACTGAATGGGCAAAAACTAGAACCATTCCCATGGAGAAATGGAATGTCCAGTTCCATCACAAGGATGTCCACTCTCATAATGCCTACTCAATATGGTTTTGGAAGACCTTCCCAGAGCAATCAGGAAAAAGAAAAAAGTAAAAGCCATCTAAATAGCAAAAAGAGGAGAAACATCTCTTTTTGCTGATGATATGATCCTGAACCCAGAAAAGGCTAGAGACCTCACCAAAAGACTCCTGGAACTGATAAAGGACTTCAGAAAAGTTTTAGAATACAAAATCAATGAACAAAAATCACTAGCAATTTTATACACCAATAACATTCAAGCTGAGAGCCAAATCAGGAACACAACTCCATTTACAACAGCCACAGACACAGAGAGAGAGAGACACACACACAATACCTAGAAATACGTCTAACAAAGCAAAGAAAGATCTCACAAGGAAAACTACAAAACACTGCTGAAAGAAATCATAGATGACACAAACACATGTTAAATATATTTCATGCTTATGGTTAGGAAGAATCAATACCATTAAAATGGCCATACAGTCCAAATCAATCTACAGATTCAATGCTATTTCTATCAAGTTACCAATATCATGTTCACAGAACTAAAAAAAAATTCTAAAATTCATATGGAACCAAAAAATAAAGCCAAAGCAACCCTAAGCAAAACAAGGCCAGATGCGTCATGTTACCTGACTTGAAACTATACTATAAGGCTACAGCAACCAAAACAGTATGTGGTTGGTGTAGAAACAGACACATAGACCAATGGAACAGAATAGAAACTCAGAAATCAAGCTTCACATCTACAGCCATCTTATTTTTTGAGAAAGTTGACAAAAATAAGCAATGGGGGAAAAACTCTCTATTCAATAAATGGTGCTGGGATAGCTTGCTAGCCATATGTGAAAGAATGAAATTAGTTTCCTACCTCTCACCATATATAAAAATTAAGATGGATTAAAGATTTAAATGTAAGACCTCAGTCTATAAGACTCCTAGAAGGAAGCCTAGGAGACACCATTCTGGACATCAGCCTTGGGAAAAAATTTATGTTTAAGTCCTCAAAAACAATTACATTAAAAACAAAATTGACAAGTGAAACCTGGTTAAAGAGCTTCTGCACATTAAAATACACTATCAAGAGAGTAAATAGAAAATCTACGGAAAGGGAGAAAATATTTTCAAATGGTGCATCCAACAAAGGTCTAATATCCAGAATCTATAAGGAACTTAAACAATTGCACAAACAAAAAACACATAACTGCATTAAATGTGGGCAAAGTACATGAACAGAAACTTACCAAAAGAAAACACACAAGTTGCCAACAAACATGAAAGAAATGCTCATCATCACAAATCATTAAAGAAATGCAAATCAAAACCACAATAAGATGCCATCTCATACCACTCAGAGCGGTTATTGTTCAAGTAAAAAAAAAAACAAATGTTGACATGGATATGGAGAAAAGGGAATGTTTATACACTATTGCTTGGAATGTAAATTAGTGGAGCCACTATGGAAAGCAGTTTGGAGGTTTATAAAAGAACTCAATACAGAGTTACCATTTGACCAGCAATCCCATTACTGAGTATATATCAAGAATAAAATAAATCATTCCATCAAAAAAAAACACATGCACTCATATGTTTATCACAGCAAAGATGTGGAATCAACATAAGTGCCCATTGATGGTGGACCAGATAAAATGTGGCACGTGTAAAACATGGAATACTATGCAGCTATAAAAAGAATGAAATCATGTCCTTTGTGGCAACATGGATGCAGCTGAAGGCCATTATCCTAAGCAAATTAACACAGAAACAGAAAACCAAATACTGCAATATATGGCTTGGCCATCTCCTCATCCCAGACCTCATCTTGAATTGTCATTCCCATAATCCCCACATGTCAAGGGTGGTACCAGGTGAAGATAAGTCAATCATGAGGGTGGTTTCCCCATAGTGTTCTCATGATAGTGAGTTCTCACGAGATCTGATGGTTTTATAAGGGGTTTCCCTTTCACTTGGCTCTCATTATCTCTTGCCTGCTGCCATGTAAGATGTGCCTTTGCACCTTCTTCACCCTCCTCCATGATTGTGAGGACTCCCCAGCCATATAGAACTGTGAGTTCATTAAACCTGTTTTTCTGGATAAATTACCCAGTCTGGGATATTTTCTTCATAGTAGCATGAGGATGAACTAATGCAGTAAATTGGTACCAGGAGTGGGGTGCTAATGTAAAGATACCTGAAAATGTGAAAGCAACTTTGGAACTGGGTAACAGGCAGAAGTGGAACAGTTTGGAGGGCTCAGAAGAAGACAGAAAAATGTAGGAAAATTTGGAAATTCTTAGAGACCTGTTGAATGATTTTGACCAAAATGCTGATAGTGATATGAGCAATGAAGTCCATGTTGAGGTGGTCTCAGATGGAGATGAGAAACTGGTTGGGACTGGAGCAAAGGTGACTCTTGTTATGCTTTAGCAAAGAGACTGGTGGCACTTTGCCCCTGCCTTAGAGATTTGTGGAACTTTGAACTTGAAAGAAATGACTTAGGGCATCTGGTGGAAACAATTTCTAAGAGCAAAGTGTTCCAGACATGACTTGGGTGCTCTTAAAAGCATTCAGTTTTATTAACTCACAAAGATAAGGCTTAGAATTGGAACTTATGCTTAAAGGGGAAGCAGAGCATAAAAGCTTGGAAAACGTGCAGTCTGATGATGCAATAGAAAAGAAAACCAATTTTCTGAGGAGAAATTCAAGCAGGCTGCAAAAATTTGCATACGTAATAAGCCAAATGTTGATTACCAAAACAACAGGGAAAGTGTCTCCAGGGCATGTCATATACCTTCCTGGCAGCCCCTCCTATCTCAGGCCCAGAGGCCTAGGAGGAAATAATGGTTTTGTGGACTGAGCCCAGGGCCCTTCTGCCATGTGCAGCCTAGGAACTTGGTGCCTTGCAACCCAGCCATTCCAGTTGTGGCTAAAAGGGGCCAGTGTAAGCTTGGGCCATGGCCTCAGAGGGTGCAAGCCCCAAGCCTTGGCAACTTCCATGTGGCGTTCAGCCTGCAGGTGCACAAAAGTCAAGAATTGAGGCTTGGAAACCTCTGCCTAGATTTCACAAGATGTATGGAAATGCCTGGGTGTCCAGGAAGAAGTTTGCTCCAGGGGCAGGGCCCTCATGGAGAACCTATGCTAGGGCAGTGCAGAAGGAAACTGTGGGGTGGGGGTTCCCACATAGAGTCCCCACTGGGACACTTAGCACCAGCCCATGAAGGCAGCCAGGAGCAGAGTTGTACCCTGAAAAGCCACAGGGGCAGAGCTACCCAAGGCCATGGGAGCCCACCTCTTGCATCAGTGTGACCTGGATGTGAGACATGGAGTCAAAAATAATCATTTTGGAGCTTTAAGATTTGACTGCCCCACTGGACTTCAGACTTGCATGGGGCTTGTAATCCCTTTGTTTTGGCCACTTCTCCCATTTGGAATAGGTGTCTTTACCCAATGCCTGTACCCCCATTGTATCTAGGAAGTAACTAACTTGCTTTTGATTTTACAGGCTCATAGGCAGAAGGGGCTTGCCTTGTCTCAGATGAGACTTTGATCTTGAACATTGGGATGAAAGCTGGAATGAGTTAAGATTTGGGGGACCGTTGCAAAGGCATGAATGTGTTTTGAAATGGGAGGACATGAGATTTGTGAGGTGCCGGCAGTGGAAAGATTTGACTGTGTTGCCACCAAAAATCTCATCTTGAATTGTAATAATTTCCACATGTCAAGGGCAGGATCAGGTGGAGATAACTGAATCATGGGGGCAGTTTTCTCTATACTTTTCTCATGGTCATGAGTGAATTCTCATGAGAATTGATTGTTTTTATAAGGGGTTTTCCCCTTCACTTGGCTCTTGCCTGCCACCCTGTCAATGTTGCCTTTGCTCCTCTTTTGCCTTCCACCATGACTGTGAGAGGTCCTCAGCTATGTGGAATTGTGAGCCAATTAAACCTCTTTTTCTTGATAAATTTCCCACTCTCAGGTATTTTCTTCATAACAGCATGAGAATAAACTATCATACTACCTGATTTCATAAGTGGGAGCTAAACAATGTAGACTCATGGACATAAATATGGCAACGATTAACATTGGGGACTACTTCAGGGAGGGAGGGGGCAAGGGTTTGAAAACTAACTTTTGAGTAGTGTGCTTAGTACTAGGGTGATGGGATTAATCATAACCCCAAACCTCAGCATCATGAAATCTACCCAGGTAATAAACTTGTGCATACACTCGCTGAATCTAAAACAAAAGTTGAAATTTTAAAATAAAAAATATAAATACATTTGGAATGGATTACTTCAAAAAAGAAAACTGTCTCCTTAGAGAAGTTACCATGATTGAAAAGTATTATTAGCTTCCTATTTATTCCACCAATTTACATATGATTGGATTGTAGGAACTTCTATAATGACTGTAAAACTGACTTATGCCAGCCTGATTCTAAAATGTTGATGTTAGGTGACTCATACATGAGGGAGAGTTTGTGTACTTGCCATTTCAAAGACATTTATAAGGGTTCTGAAAAGGAATGCTGTTGGCTACTATAGTGTTCATAAATTTTCTCTGCTTTGCAGGTTTTCATAGATGCTTCAGTTAAAGTTTGTTGTGTATCAAATGAACTGAATGGATTAGCTTTTCTTACTCCCAGAGTGGAAGATCATTATTTTCCATAGAGAATTCAGTCATTAACCACCAGAATTGAAGGTTCTGCAACATTTCTGCTTCCTCTCCATTGTTTTCTGGTCGGATGAATCATGGTCATGACAAAAAAGAAAAATCTGAATAGATGTTTTTCAAAAGAAGACATACAAATGGCCAACTGATATAAAAAAAAAGTTCCACATCTCTAATCATCAGCAAATCAAAACCACAATGAGATATCATCTCACCCCAATTTAAATGGCTTTTATTAAAAGGACAAGGACTAATAGATGATGGCAAGGACATGGAGAAGGGGGAATCCTTATATACTGTTGGTGGGAATGTAAATTAGTAGAGCCACTATAGAAAACTGTATGGAGGTTCCTTAAAAAAACTAGAAATAAACTACCATGTCATCCAGCAATTCCATTAATATACCCCCAAAATTAATATATTGTAGATGTAACTGCACTCCCATGTTTATGGCAGCACTATTCATAATAGCCAAATATGGAATCAATCTATGTGCCTGTCAATAGATGAATGAATAAAGAAAATGTAGGCCGGGCGCGGTGGCTCACGCCTGTAGTCCCAGCACTTTGGGAGGCCGAGGCGGGCGGATCATGAGGTCAGGAGATCGAGACCATCCCGGCTAAAACGGTGAAACCCTGTCTCTACTAAAAATACAAAAAATTAGCCGGGCGTGGTGGTGGGCGCCTGTAGTCCCAGCTACTTGGGAGGCTGAGGCAGGAGAATGGCGTGAACCTGGGAGGCGGAGCTTGCAGTGAGCCGAGATCCCGCCACTGCACTCCAGCCTGGGCAACAGAGCGAGACTCTGTCTCAAAAAAAAAAAAAAAAAAAAAAGAAAGAAAAAGAAAAAAAAAGAAGAAAATGTATATATACACAATGAAATACTATTCAGCTATAAAAAATAAGTCCTATTATTTGCCACAAAAGTTGATGGAACTGAAAGTCATTATGTTAATCAAAATAAGGCAAGCACAGAAAGAAAAATATTGCACATTCTAATTCATATGTGGGAGCTAAATAAGTGGGTCTCATGAATATAGAGAAAGTAGATCAGTGGTTACCAGAGATCAGGAAGATTAGGGGGAAGGGAGGATGAGATGTTGATTAATGGGTACAAACATACAGGTTCATAGAAGAAATTAGACCTAGTGTTTGATATGTCAGTTGGGTGACTATAGTTCATGATAATCTTGTATGTTTTAAAAATACTTGAAGAGAATAATTTGAATTTTTCTTTCATAAAGAAAAGCTCCTTACATGATGGATTCTCCATACCTGTATTAGCACTTTGGTCACAATTATTTAAACTGTCTCTAAGAAGTTCAAAACTTTCCCTTTTCTTTCTATCTTCTATGCCCTTCAAACTCTTCCAACCTGTGTTTCTTACCCAGTTCCATAGCTGCTTCTAGATTTTTTAGATATTTTTATAGCAACACCACACTCCTCAGTACCAATTTTCTGTGTTAGACTGCTTTTTACATAGCTATAAAAGAATAATACTGTGGAATTTGTAGAGAAAAGAGGTTTAATTGGCTCACAGTTCTGCAGGCCATACAGAAGCATGGTGCTGGAATCCGCTTGACTTCTGAGGAGGGCCTGAGGAAGCTTCCAATTATGGTAGAAGGCAATGGGGAAACATGCATGTCACATGGTGACAGCAGGAACAAGAAAGCAGGAGAGGTCTCAGACACTTCTAAATAACAAAATCTTGCATGAACTAACTGAGACAGAAGTCACTTACCATTAAGAGAATGGTGCTAAACCATTAATGAGGGATCTGTCCACAATCACCTTCCACTAGGCCCCATCTCCAACACTGAGGATCACATTTCAATATGTAATGTGGAGATTTGGAGGGGACAAACATCCAAACCATATCACTATGGATACCCAGGACTATTACCATACTGAACATTCAGCACTATTTCATTATGTTAATTCCCAGAATAACTGTATCAAGATTTTTTTTCCACTAAAAGTGCATAATGTTCCCTTATCCCCATATACTCACCAAAAAAAATTGGATTTCCAGTCTTCTAATTTCACCTATTTTTTTACAGTTGTAAAGACATATTTATTTTTGGTGTAATCTTCACATCTTGGATTAGTAATGAGTTTAAGCATTAGTACATATTTAAACTTTTTTCTATGAATTGCTTTTTTTCTGGCCTTTTTTCATTTTCTAAGTTGGGTTTACTATCTTTTACTGGTTTTATTAGAGTTCTTTCTATAACAGATATTACTTATTGTTTGCATTTGGATCTTTGACATATCTTCTTTCCAACTGCCATCTTTCTGTTAACTCTCACTATGGGAACCTTCATTAAACAGAAATCCTTAATTTTGATTTATGAAATACGTATCTCTTTGGCTTTATAGCTCATGCTTTTGGAATATTTGCCTTCAAGAAATATTTCCAATTATAATTCACAATGATATTCCCTTATGTTTTCTTCAGTTTGGTTTGTATTTATGTCTTCTATATTAAGTTTCTATTCTGTGTATAGTCCATCTTTGCATAGGGTAGGTGGTAGGGGTTTAACCTTGTCTTTCTCCACATAACGAACAAATTTTAAAAAATAAAATCTATCAAATTACCTATCCCCACTGTTTTGAGATGCCATCTATACTATATTTCAAGTCTTATGGGCCTTGGGCTGGACTTAATATTCTGTTCCATTTTTTTCCTACTTGCCTGTTGCTGGGGTAGAAATGGCGATAAACATGCTGTGGTTCTGAAGTTCATGAGCAAATTAGGGGAAGGAGCCAACATCCCATGCTTTTTCAACATTCCAACCTACAAACTGTAACCAGATTGATCTGAAACAAATTTTGGATTGTGTGGAATATCTTCACTGAATCTCCAAGGACTACCATATATTGCTCAAATACGTAACCCAGCATTCAACATATTCCATGGCCCTAATAAATTCTCCTAAATTTACTTCTCATTATTTGTGTATAATGAAGTGTTCAGATAAACTGTTCTCCTTGCTGTTCTTCAATTATTTCCTGTGACTTCTCACCCCTGTATTTTAAACATCACAGAATTTAAGAACTTAAGGCAACATTGAAGATGATCTAGTTCAACCCACATTTTACAGATGTGGAGATGAAGGACCATGTATGTGATCATTAGTAAGTGAAAGGACTTGCACTCACACTTGCGTCTCAGACGTACCAGCCCCTGCTATTTTTAACTACACTGAATTCACTTTGTCCATGCCCTTTCTGATGCCTCAAATGCTTTCTTCAACAACCGCTCCCTCTCTAATCTGCCCGTCAAAATCCTGCCCTTCTTAAAGGGGTTGAGTATTACTTCTCCATCAAAGCTTTCCCTAATCCTCTTAAAGTGAATCCTTTATTCTCTAGTTTAACATAAAACTCTGCACCTCTCTTTCTGAACTTGTATTCAGCCCTGGACTGTGGAATTTATGTCATATCATCTCCCTCCTCCTAAAACGTTGTGTTTTGCAAGGAGGGACAATATCATTCCTTTTGGTGCTTAGTGCATTAAAAACGCTTGAATAACATTTGAGTGAAGGCCTGGAAGTGATTAAATAACAAATCCTTCAAGAGCAATTGGCAGCCTATCCTTCCATAGTACATGTGTGCTGGGGGGGAAGAACACAGAGGCCCTGCAATAGTCTGTCTTTTTTTTTTTTTCTTTAGCTGAAAGTAAACATCTTGAAAGTTTGCTGTAGTTTCTGTGATTTGATAACTAATTTTGCTTCATCATAAAATGGAGGTGGTAACAGGTCATTGTCATTTTTTTCCTTAAATGTTAAACTGATCAAACAGCTATTAGAGATATAATATTTCATAAAATACAGATATTAGACAGAATCAAATAAGAATAAAGCAGAAGGCCTAAGAGTCACTTGATATTTTTTTACTTTTTTTTTTTTCTTACCTTTCTCCCAAAGCCACGTGCATGGATGGGCAATGTCAACAAGTGTTGATGCAGGTGACAGGGAGCCAAGAGAGAGAAATGAAGGTGGAAATAGTATATGATTATTAGGTTCATTAAAAAAACAGAGATTAGGTAGTGAATATTAGAAGGTGGTTGCTAATGGAAAGTAAAACACTGTAGTTAAAAGACATTTATGTCATTCTAAGCAAAAACTGAACTGCAGAAGATTAAGAAGGGGCCCCTATGATGTGCTAGCTAGGGGCCCAACAGAATGCCTAACACTGGTAATGAAGCAACAGCAGCTTCAGGAAAAGCAGAATATTTTGCTATATTCTAGGCCCCAGTCTTTCTGGGAGACACTAAAGAAGGTTATCTTGTTAGAATTCAGAAAATTGATAAAATGTGAATTACTCACTCTGATTTATCAGGGGCAGAACACTGAAAATCAAGACAGGAAACACTGGTAGGTTTAATTTTTTAGTTTTGTGGGGTTTTTTTTTCTTATTTGTTGAAATACTATTCATTTAACAATGGATCCTTGCTGTTGCTGACCACTTTTTGTTTTTACTATATTTCAGTATAACCTCCAAGTATTGTCTTAACGAAAATTTAGTAGATTAAGTGAAAGTACCGGTGTTGTAACTTGTTCTAATCTTATATATTTGAGAACAAAAAATAATAAATACTAATGGATTTCTAATCAAAACTGAATATTGGTGTTATATACCTTGTGGATAACATTTAACCTTTGAATTCAAAAGATATTTTGGGTTCATATTTTTTCAAAGAAATTTTAAATAATCACCTGGTTACATTTAAAGTCAGAAAAGTACGATGGTTAAGAGTTTGCTTTATGAGGTTGGATGGATCTGGGCTTGAATCCTGATTCATTTTCTACTTTGCTTGAAGTCAGTAAGGCCATTGAATCATTCCAAGGCTCTGTTTTTTCTTCTATACAATAGACATTGTATACACGAAATAATTTTATTATAAGGCTTAAATGTAGTATATTATACAAAGTATTTAGAATGGTTTCCGAATCATGGTAACTTTTTAATAAATGGTATCTACTTAATCCAGTCATGTATACATATGTAACAAACCTGCACATCGTGCACATATACCCTAGAACTTAAAGTATAATAAAAAAATAAAATAAATAAAAAATAAATGGTATCTACTATCAGTAGTGATATCATTATAAGCATCATAATTAACAACATGACAATAATAAAGCTTAAGACTGACAATAATTAAGGGGATTGACACTGATTTCATGCCTAGAAGTTATTCCAGCAATCACTGGGGTTATGCATGTATGATCTGTCCATGTTAATGTTCAAATAATACAAAACTGTGCCAAATTAAATTGCTTGGTAACTTCCAAAAAGACAATCAAATTATAGCTGTAAAGAACAAAATATCTAGCAGCTACTTTAAGAAATGCAAATCTAATCATATTTACACTAATCAGATTTACTGTCCTCCAATGACTTCTCACTGCACTTGAATAAAATCGAGACTCTTTAAAGTGCTCTTCAATGTGCTACAAGATTTGGCTCCAGCCTCTCTTGGCTTCAGCCTCTCTTGGCTTCACTTCTTCCCTTTCCTCCTCTTCCTTCACTCACTCTACTTACTAGACATACTCCTCTTTTGCTTGTTTCTTTGTTCCGGAACATGCCCAGAGTTACCTTGATCAAATCACTGTTTGATTTTTTTTCCTGGCACTTAGGACTACTGAACACCATCCTGCGCGCGCGCGTGTGTGTGTGTGTGTGTGTGTGTTTGTTTATTGTTGGTTCTCTCCTGACTTGTGGAATGGGAGCTTTATAAAACCAAAAGCAGTTGACATAATTCATACATTTTTGTGTAGAGGCTGAGAACATTGACTGTCACATGGTATAGCTCAATAAATAGTTCATGAATAATAAGTAAATGTATCAATAATTATGCTGAGATGTGGTCAATTCATTTATACCCTAATTTGGGTCCTAATCCTAAGAGATTTTCCCCCTTTTATTTTTAAGCAAAACAACAACAACAACAACAACAACAACCCTAAAGTCATAGTTTATAAGCAGATTTATTTTTCTTTTCTATAATATTTTCCATTAGGAACTTTATTTTAACATGCAAATGAATTGTAAGATTATTGTAGGATAAAACCTACTTTATACATAATATTTCTTCATGCTTTTAAACTGAAATACCAAATATCTAAAAGTTAATCATGGTGCCTTTTGTAAAGTCCAAATTGTTATGCATGGAAGCCTGGGGACAGGTCCTAACATAATTTTTCATAAAAGTAATCTCACAATAGTTTAAAAATGCAAAGCTTGAAGCCTATTATATTTTTTCTCTTTAAAATACATGTAATTTTATACTGGGTATAGTTGAGAGCATAGCAGCAGAACATGTATTTCCATAAACTGGTCCACTTGAAGGGATTTTAGAGCTTGCTTTTCTACCTTGTCTATATTGCTGGTTTCAGAGGGTCAAAAGATTCAGGGTTCAAAACAGTGATCTCCTGAGATTATGGATTTGTCACCATGGCAACAAGCAAACTAAATCAGTAAGCAAGGACAGGAGGAAAGATTGTGTCGTATTATTCACAGCAAGAAAGATCAATAAAACTGTGCTCTTTTAGGCAGATTTATAATCCTATTGTAAAGGTGACTAATATTAGTTGTGAATTTCCTAATTTCTGGTAGTTTCTGACCCTGACCTAAAAATGGAAATGTTTAGGTGATAGAATATAAATTTTGAGAAGGACCATTCTTCAACTGTGCTAAATTTCAATGTCACCCATTAATACCTATTTCTAACCTTAATATACAAATTATTCAGGGTCAGAGTAAGTCTAATTGGAGGTTAATTACTATTCATCTATGTGGGTTGAAGTATAAGAAATGGAAGAGACATTTAAGTTAGCAAATAAAACACATCAGAAGTCAGAAGAGTGTGTTACCAAAGCTGAGGACTCAGTGAAGAATGCCCAGAAGTATAGTCACCTGGATGGAGAACATTTACTTACTTGAAATAGGAGCAAAACAACTAGACTAGGATCTGGGAATTCTGCCTTCTCTCTTCATTACGAAGCCATCAGCTGTTGATGTCAGGTCTGGGCTGCCTCATCAGGAACACAAGGAAGCGGAGTTGAGGTTGTGACATGGATGAGGTAGGAATTCGTACTGGTATCAGAGATTTTAGGAGAGCATCTATCACATTGTACTGTATGGCTATCTACATTTTGTCACCTAAGTCTTGATTGTGAGGTCCAAGTGGGAAAAAATCAGGTATCATCTTTTTAATATTAAATACCTATTCACAATGCCTGGTATTTAAAAGTTGTTAAGTGAATACATATTATAGTCTAAATGAATAAAATGACTGAATAAATAAATGCCATCCTGGATTCAGTCTTCTGTCCACTTCTGCCCAGTCTTTTGTCTTTGATAACCACATCCAGGGGCAAGTTATTGAAGGATACAGATTGACCTTTAATGAACCTAGTTCACAATGGATTGTTAAAACCATTATTTTTCTTAATCCCCTCTTTCTGAATCTAACATCCATAAATTAATAATTCTTTGAGGTGACAGTTGCCAAAGACAAATTGCACCAGATGAAGTTAAACAGGCAAGGGAGACTTTATTCAAGACTATGTAATAAGAGAGAGGGATTGAACTTAACTCCACTGAAACAAAAGATAGAGAGTTGTTAAAAATGGGGATGAGCTGGTGGGAAAGAAATGGAGGATGTTAGGTGGCTGACTGGTTAATGTCATTAGGTCATCTGCATTTGCTCTTTGGCACTTATTAAAGTTAGGTTCCTACTCTCCCACAGAGGCCAGGAGATAGGGACACTATCTTTCTTGATGATTACGCTCTAAATAGATGGTTCCCTGGTCCTTGAGAAAGGCATTCCTGGGTTGTAAAACTGTTAAGAGGTTGGGAGTAGCTTTATGTCTGAAAGGGGCAGAGGAAGAAATTACAGTATGTTTTCTAAAGTATATCCTCTAAGAAAAGGGAGGTCAGCGTCTATAGTAAAAAAAAAAAAAGTTTTAAGCTTAGTAAAGCTAAGTGGAATATTGACAGCATCTTGGTCACAGTGTAGATTATATTTTACTGCAGAATTTAGCCACACATCAAAAATTTCATTTCGTTCGTCTTGATTTTATTATGTAAGTTACAAAGGATTTTGAAAAGTTACAATATGCTGAAATTTATTGTACGTACTTGAGTTCAGTTAGCATGTAGTCTCTTGCATTTTTATAGAGTTTTGTCTTTCCAACCTTATTTTTATTTTGTTGTTTCTCATTTTTAAAGAATTTCATCTTCTTCCAAAAGCAAAAACTTGATTATTGTTGTTTTTACTTGTAACTTCTGCAGCTTTGGTATATTGTTTTAGGAGGAGCAGGAGACAAATGACACTCAAAATCGCAGATATAGTTGCACCAAAATCTTATTCATGAGTTTGAATAATTCATTATACATTAATTTAGAAACTTTCTGTTGAGAAATATATACATTCAAGACATTGTCTAAAGTGCCATGGGAAGTAAGAAGAGAGGCTTTATTACTCATTCCCTAGGACATTTCAACTTGGAAGATGATAAGGAAAATGCCCTGTAGTATATCCCTGTGGTAAATGCAATAAAGGAGGCACAAAAGCACTGTGGACATTTGCCAGTGGGAGAGATCATTTCCTTTTGAAAAGATGGCATTTGAATGGGACATGGAAAGTTTGACATGTTGCTGGGACTGGTGGCTCATGCCTGTAGTCCCAGCTACTTGAGAGGCTGATGCAGGAGGATTACTTGAGCCCAGGAATTTTGGGCTGTAACTTGCAATGCTGATTGGGTGTTTGCACTAAGTTCAGCATCAACACGGTAACCTCCCAGGTGTGGAGGCCAACCAGGTTGCCTGGGGAGGGGTGAACTGGCTCAGTTTGTGAATGGAGTGGGTCAAAACTCTTGTGCTGATCAGTAGTGGGATTGTGCCTGTGAATAGCCACTGCACTGTAGCCTGGGAAGCTCAACAGAAGACTGACAGGTCTATTCCGGAAGGAACTTGTTCCAGGTAAAGCAAATGTGTTAGGAGCTGAGGTATAGAGTAAGGAAAGTGCAGAACATTTTTGATATTTGCCAAGATTGTAAGTACAAAAGAAAATGTATTTAACCCCTTCGTTATGTTCTTTCAGCA